>NC_000010.11:82415822-82567337 GCF_000001405.40 Homo sapiens | reverse complement strand
TAATCATCGGAATTTCTGACAGTAGATTTAGGATTGTCCTATAGTCCAGTCATGAGAAATATCCTTAGTGGCCGAGAGTGTTAGGTGTTTCCTATATCACAGGAAAATAGTACTTCCAAGACTTCCTCATAGACAGAATGGGAGCTAAGTATAAATATTATTAGGAAACAGAAATATGACCATAAAAATCTTCATTTCCAATATGAAGAATTAAGAACTGATGGGGCTCCTTTGTCTCTCTCTGCCCTTCAAAGATGACCATGGAACCTGTGGGTTTAGATGGTGGAGACAGAGGTGAAAACAGCGTGGATCCTTCAGGTATCGCTTGGAAGAGTATTGCTGTGAAGAGTCACCAGACCTACAGCAACTCTACATGAATAAGAAATAAACTCCTTTACTGTGAGGACACTACAACTTTGGAATTTATTTGTTCCCACAGCAGAGCAAAACAACATCACCAGTGATTATCTTGTATTGACCTAAACAACCTCCCACTAACAAAGCCCATTATGTTTCAGACGACTATTTTTTTATTTAGAAAAATTTTTTATTGATTAAATATCTACTACTTGGTAAGTTAATCTATCACTACCAATTCTCAGGTCCAAACAAAATACCACATCATAATAAAGACAAAAATCTGTAACCCTCATGTGACTATTCCTGACATGGTCTTTTCTTTTCAAATCTAAGTTCGTCAGAGCATTTTGGGATATAAACATATGTCTTTCATATGTTTTCCCTTTCTGTCCCAATGGGTAATTTATTAATTATTTTATTAATTATAACTTTATAAACTAAATTCCATTTTTGAGAGATAACTAATCCATTAATTTCGGATTCTTTGGCCATGCCTTCTTCTTTTCACCCACAGAACTTTTCAAAATGTAGAGGATAATCCTTTACTTCTCAGGTGGTCCAACACCTAAGATATCACACGTGTGCTATTCCATGATGTATTATAACGAAGCATTTTTCTTCGATTCTGAAAATTTACCATATTTAATACATTGCATACATCCACCTCCCAAAAAAGTAAGAACAGTCAACTGTTATATTAAAAAATAGCAAATATCTATTGAACACTTAACAAGCAAACAAACAAAATAAAACAACCAAAGAAAGAAGCCAAAAGGAAAAACGGTTGTTATCTTTTCTTGGGATTACAAACCATCATGAAAGTAAGAATAATAGTTAACATTCACGGAGGGCTTATTAAGTGCCACGTACTGGGAAAAGGAGCTTTGCATGCATTATCCTATTTTTTCATCACAGTAAGCTAATAATGTAGAAAAACATTTTATGGAAGACGAAACTAAGTCACTAGTTATGTCAACTGCTCAATCATCTCTATGGCGAATAAGAGGTAGAACAAGAGGAATTTCAAGCCAGGTCTTGCTCACAAACCCATGCTTTTAAAGTCTGTATCATGCGACTTCTCATTAGAAGCCTGCGTGTTTTGTTTTCATTTTTCTGTGTTTCTCCTCTTTGCCCTGATTCTGTAGTGACCTTAATATCACAACAGAATTACATACCTTCCAACGCTGGAATGAATCTAAGTACTAGATTAGAAGGTGGTGAAATAGTCAAAATTTAATACGGCCCAAACCAAATCATCTGAAGAAAGTCATGTCAATGACTTTCCCAGCATTCTGGAATTGAGGACAGGTGTGCATCACAAATTCTCCAATCAACCAAGCCTGAGAGTGGTAGTGCCGATCAAAAAACAAAAATCAGCTTCAGATGGAAACAAGGAGACTGTTAGGTGTCTAGATTGCATAAAGTGGGCCACTGGAGACTGGCTTATCTATCAAAATCTGTCTGTGTGTGTTTGGTGGGGATTGAAGGATGAAAGTCAAGGCTGTTACCCACAAAACAGGAGCTACAACCTGGATCCTGAGTATGAATATCCTGAGAAAACTGCTTGCAGCATTTTTCCAATTATCTATTAACTAGTTTCAGAGACTGAATCTTTTGGTGTTGGAATCCAGGGAAGTCATTAACTGGCTGTACAAGGCCAAGTCAGAACCCATATTCACTCTCCATGTACATGAGATAAACTGCCTAGAAGACCAAATGTGTAAGGAAGGAGAAACAATGATTCTCTGTAGTAGGGTGTGGCTATATGTCCTGCCTACCTGGCATTTTCCCCAACACTTCACATTCAAGTCTTCCATGAAATTTATAGTTTGCCATATGTTCATATTATTCCATCTTAGGTCTGCTCCTCCTGCTGCTGCTTTCTCTGGCGGGGAATGCCCTTCCACTTCGTATCCTTATGACAAACTCTTCCTGAACCTCGTTCCCAACAGTGTTCTTTTTGCCCTGTCATCTAATTGTATTAGTCATCTAAGCACACAAGGTCTCTGCATTTCAGGGTATTATACAGAATCTGGCACCAAAGAGGCCTGCAATACTTTTGTCAAGATTAAAAGAAAGAACACACAAATTGGGAAGGTGCCTTTTGTCTTGTATGCTTTCTATATTACAAAGAGTATTCCTGCTGAGTTAAGAAGATACTGAGCACTCAGAGAATGTCATCTCACGACAAAGAAATAATTGCCATATTTTTTTTTCTTTTAACAGTAAGAGCTATGAGATGCCAGCCTATGCTCTGACACACTCAGCACAACAGGATCCTATTGTGTAAAATAGGCACTTTGTGTCCGGATTCACCTGGAATCTTAAGAGCAACAAGATAGAGTGTTAGAGTCTAAGAATTTCTCTTTCTCTATGGTTCAAAGAGAAGTGTTACGCTGAGAAATGTTGAGCCTGAAAGGTTACCCATTAACTTTATCCCAACCACATATCAGAGAGGAGGAACTGGTAACCAGCAAATAAATGGTACAGGGATCAAGGTAAGTGGAAACTCCCAGGCCCCTCACCTTCTATGCTTTCTTTTCCTTTTCTTATGAATATGATGCATCAAAATGTCCATTCGAAGCAGAATTTCCTGAGCAAAAATTAAATTCAAATAGGTGATAAAATGGAAGTTTTAATCAATTCAGAGAAGCTCCATCCAAAGAAATATGCAAAATGAATCAACAGAAAATATAATTATGCAAAATAATATCACTGACAGCCTCAGCTCAAGCATTCACACTTTTTATTTCCTACAAATACATTTCTGATTGAAAGGATGAGACATCATTAATCAGTTGTTTATCCAAACAATGTATGCACATGGAAAAGTGATCTGTGAGATTTTATTCATTATCTAAACTTTTATCTGTTAACTACATACCTGAGAAAAGAAAGTAATATAACAGCTGTTTCTCAAAAAATGACCCCTTATGTATTAAGAGCTCATCACAAATAGAAGTACTTTTAATTTTAATTTGTTTAATATCATTGAACATTTGTAAAAATGCTTAATAGCATTATCATATTGTATGATCTCTCTTTGAATATATCATCTTAAGATACTCAAATGAATAACACTTCAGTTATTAAATATTTTCAAAATATTGAAATTGTTGAAACATCAAAAAGATAGAAAATTTTAGTTTCATAATTAGCTTGGTATCTATAGTTAATAATGATGTACTGTATATTTCAAAATTGCTAAAAGAGTAGATTTTAAATGTTCTCATCACAAAAAATGATAAGTAGGTGAGATGATGGATATATTAATTAGCTGGATTTGTTTATAGCACACAAATCAAAACATCATATTGTTCACCATAAATATGTGATGTTTTGATATATGTGAAACATATCACATATATAAGTATGTGACATATTGTATTTAAAGAAAATAAAATAATAAAAATATAAATATTCACCTAATACTTTTTCTGAAAATATACATAAATACTAAGTTTTCTGGGTATAAAAAATTAGAAAAAATCTCAGGGAACAGGCTGACTCTCAGAGGTAGAAATAGCCATATTGCATGATTAAATGAAATAAAATCACCTAGATAATGATTATTGATGCAAAATTAATAACATTCTTAATTAATTATGAGGATACATATTTTTTAGTTAAGAACTCCCGGTGAAACCCTGAGGGGAAAATATGTCAACACTATTCCACTGTTAAGCACGCATATGTACATCCAATTTTTCTCTTTTACGTATGTGAAAAAAATGTAAAATGAATAGGAAATGTCATAAATAAATAATGGCTTCAAAAAATAATGTTCAATTGTTTCTCATTCATAATCTCATCAAAGTTTTAAAAAATGACTATGGTATTTGTCCATTTAAAAAATGACTATGGATCTGGATGCCATGTTCTAAATCTTTAGCTGTTGCTGGCTTATTATATACGTGGGTATACACTCACCTCCCCACATCCCTGGGTTTCCTAAACTGCCCATTTTTCTCTTTCTGCACACTCAGGAAGTCTGTGTGCAAATATCAGAAGGCTGAAATATACATTTATACTTGACCTTGTGACTAATATCTGGCCACTAAAACGTGACTGGAAGTGCAGTGTGCCATGTTAGGATTCAGGGAGTAAAGAGCCAGGGTGCCCTCCCCACCCACTCTGTGTCCCCTCCCCACCCACTCTGTGTCCCTTGCCCTTACAGCTAGAAATAGAAAATTCCAACAAGGCCGACCACTAGATAGAAGCAGTAGGTCCCCACGTCACTCCAGAGGAATGGTGCTGCTCAGGAGAGCCACCCAACAAACATTAAACTGTGATGTGATTGAGAAAAAACTTTTACTATATTCAGCCATGAGTTGGTTATTTCTCATAGCTGCTACTGAGAGTTGCCATGACCAATAGAACTATTTGCTTTTAAAAGTAGTGACTATCTGCAAATGACAGAGGGACTGACTGTGTTTCAAGATAATTAATGCCAAACTTTCTCAGTTTTTTGTCTCTACAATTACTTTTCCATTAATTCTTTTATCAAAAATATTTATATCATAGTGATTAGAATGCAGTATTTACAGCAAGCTATGAAAGCAAGAGAAAGACCTTTCAACAAAATAAAAACAAAAGTTGAACAGTCTGTATTGGTTGGCAGCTGACAGTGAGTTCTCTCAATCAGCTATACTCTCACTTTTCCAATCAAGACTGTGGGAAAAATCTATATGCTTCACTAAAAAGACCACATTTACCTATATCTGTAACATAATAGAGATAGAAACTATGATGAAGACGAAGATGATGGTGATTGTTGATTGAATATCATTTATTGATTGTTTACTATGTAATAAGCACTGTGCACATAATTTAGCACCGTAATATTTCAGATGTCCCTTGTGAAAACAAAATTAGTGTCTCAATTTTTATTGATATGGAACCTCAGGCTTAAAGTCATAAATCAAATAAATGTAGGAAGGTTTGTCTAATTCCAAGATGCATGTTATTAACGACCACTTTAAGAGAAAAGAAGTAGAGAATTTAAAATAAACCAGTCTCATTAAGTAACTTTGGTGCTTAATATAGTTCTATGCCCTACCCCTATTGCCCTCATATTGAAGTTCAAATGGCTTATGATGGTTAAAAATCTTTCAGGAGCTGACATCTCCTCACCTCTATGTCTTTTCCTCTCAATTTCTCTAGATATTACAGTTAAGGTTATTTTACACATGCAAGTCTGCATGAGACAGAGAATATGGTGGAGAATTGGAATAGACAAATCTGGTTTAAGCAAAACTGAGAAATGTGATTGGGATCTAGCATATTTCTTGAAATTCAAGGGTTAGGATCCATTTTAAGGATGGGAGTGTTGGGAAGAAATACAAAACCCAGGATGGAGCACAGTGGTGCCATCTTGGCCCACTGCAACCTCTGCCTCACAGGCTCAAGCGATTCTCCCACTTCAGCCTCCCAAGTAGCTGGGACCACAGGTGTCTACCACAATGCCCGGCTAATTTGTTGTATTTTTGGTAGAGGCGAGGTTTCGCCATGTTACTCAGGCTGATCTCAAATTCTTGAGCTCAGGGGATCCGTCCACCTCAGCCTCCCAGAGAGCTGGGATTACAGGCGTGAGCCATGGTGCCTGGCCAAATATTTCAATACATTTTAAAGGCCAGGTAAAAATGATGGCATACTGTAAATTTTAAAGCAGCAAAGTTAACAACAACAACAACAAAAAGCAGCAAATTTAAATAGGCCATTTACGGTGGAAGGTGCAAGTAAATGATTAAAGATTTTATCCCTTCCTCCCCCAAGAGGCATTAAAACAACATACTTCCTTTTCCTAAGTCTAGCTTTCTTTTTAAATAGCAGACAATTACAAAGATAATTAAAATTTTACAGACTATAGGAAGAGATGGACACTTTATCAATTCATTTTTAATGCAGGCATGAAATGAAAAATCAATCCCAGTAAAGAGAGTAAAAGAAAGAAAATTATAGAACAGGAATATTGGTATATTAGAAATAGATCTATGTCTGCAAAGATACAGTAATCTTCAATAAATACTACCAGGTAGAACACAATAATGATTTAGTTAATATATTAGGGACCTATAAGACTCATGCATCATTGAAAAACTAACAGAAAAAGAGTCATATAATTATTTCAATACATAAAACATTACTTAATTAAATAAACCAGTCGTTTCTTATTTAAAATGAAATTAAAATAGAAAAAGAGGAAATACTCTTTAATATGAGACATTTCACAAAAACTTACAACTTTTAAAAACCAAAATACTAAAGCCATTTCTATTATGATATGGATAAGATGGAAGTGTCTATTAATACTATAGTTACATAAAATATGATTAACATTTTTAATAAATTCAGATAAAGATTGAAAGAAAAATAAAACTATAATTTTACTGAAAATATCATAATAAATCTAGATAAAACAAGATGGCCAATTAAAGAAGCAATCAAATTAATAAAGGAACACTTAAGGTAGTTGGATATATGATACTTATCCAAAATATAAGTAAAAATGGAAAACATTCTGTTCTCAGAAGTGATAATACTATCATATACATAAGAATTAATTTAATAAGAAAGTTATAAAACATATGAGGAAATAATTATTAAATCTTATTGAAAGAAATAAAACATAGCCTGAACTTAAGTAATGACATATCTTATTCTTGGATACAATAAAAAATAATAAAAATGTCAGTCACCTGAAAATCAAATCAGTTCTTAATATAAAATTGCAAATAAAATACCAACTTTTTAAAAACTGGAAAAAATAAGTTAAAAGTTAATATGTAACAATAAATCATGAAATATGATATATTAACACATTTTTATTTTTAATTATTCCTCAAAGCAAAAATGAGAATTAAAAAGATTAAGTATATATATCTTTAAAAACATGAATACTTGAAGATAAACTTAATAGGAAAGATGATGACAATGAAAAAAATTGATGTCAACAAAATTTTGGAAGCTCAAGGAAAATGGAAGTGTTACAACTGACTTACTATATATATATATTAAATTCCTAATTTTAAGCAAAACAAAACTTGTAAATTTTTTATTTACAAGTGTTTTAATACTTTATATTTAGGCCTCAAGAGAATTCTCATTAATAACAAATGGCTTGAGTAAATTTGGATATATAAGTATTGGAAAGTATGGTGTCCCTTGAAAAGAATGAGTCCTATATTTGCTGCACTTGGATGACTTTCCATTGATACTGTTTAGTGACAAGAGCAATATTTAGTGTACATAAAATGATTTTATATTTGTAAAAACAATGACTAAGGACCATTATGCATGCATGTGCATTTGCACTTTGCCATACAAATATGAAGGAAGCTACATGCTGCTCAGATCTGCTGTAGGAAACATACAAGCTGTCCTTCTGGGTTGCAGGAAACGTACCAGCTGCTGTCCTTCTGGGTCCAACCCTTGTTCATACTAAGACCACTCTTCATACAGGCTACTAGCACCTGATGACTGGACACAGCATGGCTCATAATAGAGGCCCATTCCTTCAAGTTGTAAGTACTCAACTGGGTGAGTTTGGTTCAATGAATCCCCCTCGGCTTAGCCAAACTTTTTCAGAACTAGACGGTAGTCTCAGACTTTCTCTTTTCCTTCATGGAAGTCAGGCCTGTTTAAAGGCTCCTCTCAACTTCTCCTTCCTTCCCTTTATCTTGTGTAGGTAATTCCCTAAATACATCTTTATTCACATATAATCCTGTCTTGGAATCTGCATCTTGAGGACCTGAACTCAACTGAAGTCTATGCTCCAAGAAATCAACAGTGGTTACCATGATCAGCTGGATGGTATTAGGAAGAAAGAGAAAAAAAAATACATAGATGAGAGGGGAAAATAAGTTAGGAAGGAGTAATAATACGATTTTATGAAATTTTATGCATGCATACAAAAATATGCATATGCACAAACAAATGCAAGTATGTTCAACAAATTATTAATGGTGGTTATCTCAGAGTAATATAATTTCATGTGATTTTGAATTTTTTGTTATGTTTTTTATATATTTAATATTTTTAGAAGGAACATGTAATATTTAAATAATCAAAAAATAGAGCACTTTCCTTTGTAGAAAATAACAAAAACATGGAAGACTATATATCCGATAGGGAGAGAAATGCCCAAGAATATGAGGTTAAGCTCGGAAGCAGACCTGTTAGACAACACAAACCTGATAAGAGAAAATAACTAGAATAGTAGAGGTTAAAAGAATGTAAAACTAAAATGAGCATCTCTATATTTATTTAACAGTTATTCTATACTTTAGAGAAATGCGAATTTGACGTCTTTGCATTATGAGTTGTCATGCATCTTATTTCTGGCACATCAGGTAGACTTCAGATAGTTTATCCCATTCTTCCTGATTTGTCTGCAATTACCATATTTCAGTACTTAATGTAATGCAATCGAGGAACCCCCTCAGTTCCAGCAGGTCTTGATTGCTGCTCACCCTGCTTTTAAATGGTATGCAATAGGAGGTGGGGCCTGAGTTATGTGCAGTGACAGAACTAGGCTTAGATCATCTAGATTAATCTGCAGGAAAGCTGAGTCATGGCTTAGGGTTTAGGAGGTTTTCTATAACTACAAAAAAATCTTAGCTGAGAGACACCCAAGGGGTTTTTCTTGTGTAACTGCCTTGTAGAGATAAGGAAGAATGGTAATTCAGGCAATAGGCACTTGAGCTGAGCCTGCTAATGGCCAAGCTGGTGACTTTGCATCATTCTGAGCCATCTCCTTCCTCACAGCAAAAGCAACACAAGCTTATCCTCTAGCCACCATGAAAGTCTCGAAGTGCCTCAAGATGGCCACACCCTTCCTTGTTTCTGCAATTTGCAATGCATTTCTCTCTTGTGAGATTGTTTCTACTCCTTTGTTAGAAATGTCAAATCCTAGCCCAAATGGCTATTGCCTCTGGAAATCATTCCCAGGTGGAGAAAGGACCTTCCTCCCTAGAGCTCCACGTGTTCCAAACCTCTCTTTCATCTTTTACCACCTTGTAATGTAGCGAGTGTTGTGTCTCTTCTCACCAGCTGGTGACTTCAAGGATTTGGAGCCAAACCTTCTGGGTGCAAAGCCAGCTCTGCCACTTCCCAGCCTTTTGACCTTGGGAAACTTACTTCACCTCACTGAGTCTACGTGTCCTCATCTGTAAAATGTGGTATTTGTGAGGATTAAATAAATTCACGTATTACAGGACTTAGAAACATGTCTGGCACAAAGTAAATTCTATGTCAGGGTTAACTGTTATTATTGTCTCAGTCCCAGCACCCATACCAGTGTCAGGCTCATGATCAAGAAAAAAAATGCTAAATCAACAAATGGGAACTAACTTAAGAGCTTCTGCACAGCAAAAGAAACTATCAACAGTGTAAACAGACAACCTAGAGAATGGGAGAAAACATGTGAAAATTATGTATCTGACAAAAGTCTAATATCCAGCATTTATAAGGAACTTCAACAAATTTGCAAGAAAAAAACATTAAAAAGTGAGCAGAGGATATGAAAAGACACTTCTCAAAAAAAGACATACATGCAGCCAATAAGCATATGAAAAAAAAGCTCAATATCACTGATCATTACAGATATGCAAATCAAAATCACAGTGAGATACCATCTCACACCAGTCAGAATGGCTATTATTAAAAAGTCAAAAAATAAATGCTTACGAGGTTGTGAAGAAAAGGGAACACTTATACACTGTTGATGCTAGTGTAAATTAGTTCAACCATTGTGGAAAGCAGTATGGCAATTCCTCAAAGAGCTAAAAGCAGAACTACCATTCGAACTAGTAATCCCATTATGGGTATATACCCAGAGGAATAGAAATTATTCTACCATAAAGTCACATGCATGTGTAAGTTCATTGCAGCATTACTCACAATAGCAAAGACATGGAATCAACCTCAACGCCCATCAATGACAGACTGGATAAAGAAAATGTGGTACATGTACAACATGGAATACTATGCAGCCATAAAAAGAAAGAGATCATGTGTTTTGTGGGAACATGGATGGAGTTGGAGGCCATTATCCTTAGTAAACTAATGCAGGAACAGAAACCAAATACTGCATGTTCTCACTTAAAAGTAGGAGCTAGATGATGAGAACTTAGGAACACAGGCAAGGAAAAAACAGACACTGGGATCTACTTCAGGGTGGAGGCTTGGAGGAGGGAGAGGAGCAGAAAAGTCAGCTATGGGGTACTGGTCTTAATACCTGGGTGATGGAATAATCTCTACAACAGAACCCTATGACAGGAGATTACCTATGTAACACACCATCACATGTACCCCTGAACCTAAAAGTTTAAATAAAGAGAAATATTTGCCTAATGAAAATTATAGCAGCAAAGGTACATTCTCACCAGACAAACCAGACAACACAGAAAGGGCAAAGCAGGCCACAGAGAGAAGAAGGGCAGATGCCATTGGTCGGCATTTACCAAGAGGGCTGCCGCCAGCCAATGCAGCTCACATGCCCACTTCTCACACTATACCCATGCTTACAGCAGTCTCTGAGAGAGATGAAGTCCTTACCAGTAGCAACTAGATTCATGCCTCAACTTTACTGTTAGATTCACCAGGCTTACCCAGAATTTAACTAGCTCTAGAGCACACTGCCAGAAACATCTTCACCATGTCTAAGATTGTAACTTAACTCCCTGGGAAGGAATGAGATAACATAGGAGAGGGCAGTAGAAAGGAAAGTGAAGGAGCCCTGTGGAATTTGAAAATTTTAAGATTGAGAATAGAAAAAAAAATAGGCTTCAAGTTAGATTGTGAAATACAGCCTGAGAGACAGGAAGAATCCTGAAAAGTGAGATGTAACCAAAAACCAGAAAGTGTTTTAAATAGGAGAACATCATCAAATGTGTCAAATGAAGCTGTGAGGTGAGAAGATGAAGACAAATACGGGGCAACTGAATTTGGTGACCTTGACAAGAGCAGCTTCATACAGTGGTCTGAGAGAAATCCAAGTTGCAATGGTTGAAGAATGAAGAGAGGAGGTTAGTGACAGAATATATAAATGACTTCTTAGAGAAATATTGGTATAGGAAAAACAACAGGTAGAAGAAATAGGGTGGTAGCAGGAAATAAATGAGAAGGAAATAAGATTTTTCTTTCTTTTTCAAAAATGAGAAATTCTAAACTACGTTTATAAAATGTTATCAATGACCATTTAAGAAAGGGATATGTATGTTTCAACAGAAAGAAGGGATAAATGGCCAAATCATTGAGCAAGTATGCATGAAAGGAATCAAACTATGAACGCACTGGCCATTGGTAGAAGGCAGATCACTGAGTTAATTTTAACAGAAGGGCAAAATGAGAAGACAGACATTGAGGAAATGGATTTTGAGGTTAGTTGTTGGGAGGATGAGGAAGTTTCCATTTAGATCTTCCATTACCTCATGAAATACAAAGTCTTCCCTTGTCTCAAGAAGTACTTAGGATGGTCAGTAGCTTTTAGGAAAAAAAGAAGCTCTATGAATTCATTTTTCTTTACAGTATAAAAATGAGTTTTTTACACAATTGTGGTAAGATTATTAGACAGAGTTGACTCATTTTTTAATACAAAGTAAAGCCCATCTTCTGTTTAAGAGGTTTTCTCCAGCAATGTTCTGCTCTTTTGGATGTGGATATAGAGAAACTGGACAATGGGTTTAAATAGCATTGAGAATTTGCCACCCTGGAACTAAAATAGAATGAGTAATCTGTATTTGCAAAACTATGATTATAATTGTAGACCAGAGAATAAGGTTAATCTATAGAAAAAACTAAGAAATAGTAGGAGGGATCTTTGTTCTCATGAGTAATAGTGGTAGCAACAGATTAGAGATCTCACAATATCTCCTCTAAATATGGACTGGCCATATGGCAATTGGTTTGTCAGATCCCAGATATTCAGAGTAAAGTCATTTGAGTTTTTAGGGGACTAGAACACAGTGAGGGAGTGGAGGAAGGCAAAACATTTCAGAGGCTGGGCCACTGCAGGGAGGCAAACACAAAGTATAACAGCAGACAGCATGAGGACGGTGTGTGTAAAGGAAGAACCCAACTATCATACAAACCGTCCTCATAACTGCTCTTTTCACATAGAAATTCACATGTCGTTCATGTCTTAACATCAATATGTAGAGGTCTCTAGCACTGCTTTTAGTGGTTACACAAGATCCAATTAATATATTACATCTTTAGCTTGATTTCATCTTGTTAAATTATGACTAGAATTAAAACACTTCCTTGCACATTCATATTGGAAGATAATCTCATCAAGTATTTCTGAACATGCCTGAGCTCCCTTAGGGGTCCTCACATTATTCCATTTCATGACCATAACAGCCTTTGAAATAAAGGGATATGCAAAAAATGTCGCAGCCTTCAGGAAAGGCCATCTGCTCCAAGAGTGACATGGTTAGTGAGAACAGGCTCCTTGCCCTTTTCTAGTTTGAGATTCTATCCCAGTTTAAACTATGAAGTCATTGCAAATGCTTCAGAGTAGCTCATTTGATTTTGTAAAGTTTTACTTTATTTTTAATTGACACATAATCGTTGGATGTATTCACGGGGTACAGTGTGATGTTTTGATACAGGTATATGCTGTGTAATGATCATATCACATTAATTAGCTTATCCATTACCTCAAACGTTGATAATTTCTTTGAGAACAGTCAAAATCATCTTTCCTACGTATTTTGAAATATAAAATACAATACTGTCCGTGATAGTCACCCTACTGTGCTGGGGCTAGTTTTCATTCCCAAGGCAATTCCACTTAAAACATACTGTGAAATCAAGAAGCTCATCTGCATCTTAATTTTAATTCACCTTCCTGTAAAAACTAAAGTCCACATTTTGGGAAGCATAGCATTTTGGTGCATCTGTTTGTTGTAAACCCAGTCTTACAGTATGCCGTGTAATAATGTACTAACATATAACAGATGATCCTGAATCCTGAAGAGTTTGAAATACAATCTGTGTTGTTATTTGAGGCAATTAAATCTACAGGTTTGCACTAAATTGAAATATCATAACTGTCTTGTGAACTGTCACTTTTTTAGAGATCTAATTACATCTTGCAGATAAACAGAGTATTTATGGCAAGTATACATGTACTTAAATATCATGAGGTGAGGGGGATGTGCCTTAATCCAGTGTTAGAACTGAGTAATTGTGGGAGAAACTTTTATTAGTTCAAGTATCTAACAAGAAACTTTATTTTCAGTATTCCCCCACCCTACTCATTCAGACTTCCGTGAGTTATTCTCTGAGGTATTCCGAGCACCAGCTCCCAGCATATATAACAAATAAGTGTCCATGGATTCTTTCGCATTCAGCTATGAAGGCACTTCTATTCCAAACATCTTAAAGACTCCATATATTTTTCTTGAGACCTAATCAAAAATACCTAAATAACAAGCAACTTCAGAAATCAGCACTGAAAAATTCTCTTCAGCAAACCCTTCTATTTATAAAAGAAATTAGTAACTCAGGGGTACACAATGATCATGGATGCACTGTAGACTCCAAAGAAAGATGGATATGATATAAAAGAGAATTTAGATCCATACATGTTTTTGCAAATATACCCATCTTAGAAAACATGAAGTGGTGATTGTGTGGGGGGTGCGGTTCTCACTAGTTATCCTCCTACCTATTCGTTTGTCTTTAGAAAAAAAAAATGCTGAAGCTGTGTAGAAAGTACAATAATTAAAAATATAAACTTCAAGAGAATATCAGACATTGAGATATTATGACCGCTGTGGACAATAACCTGCATACAATTCCATTTGCCTTCATTTTAGAAAGGTTCCTGACTTGATCTTTAGAATTGCAACATTCATGAAGCACTGCTATTTGTTGTAAAACTGTGCATTCTTCTCTTCCCATAAAGGGGTGTGTGTGTGTGTGTGTGTGTGTGTTTGTGTGTGATCACTTTTCTCTACTTGGAAACAGATAAGCAGATTTGCCACCGGGACTGGGCCTGTGACATCATGTGGAGGTACATTGTCAACTATCTCCAATCACTTCAGTGATCACTCCATGGGAAGGACAATACTGCTTCAAAGGACAGGAGGCCCAAGGCTAGAGTTTGGTCTTTGTCTCTTATGAGGCACATATACTATATGTTTTTGAACCCATCACTTAACTTCTCTAAGTCTCCATTTCCTTGGTAAAATGGGCATAAATGTAGATTTGATAACTCACATACATCTTTTTGCTATAGGAGACAAAAACTAAATCTGAAAATTAAAAAATTTGATTAGTAAGCTTGTACCATAATAAATGCAGCAGGATCAAGAAGGTAGCCCTGACTTCTATTGCAGTTTTATCTCATCTAGCTAAGAGAACTTTGGAGAATTACTGAAATGTTTTGTGTTTCAGCTTTCTAATTTGTGAAAGGATACTTTGAGGACTTCTGGGAGCATTACGCTGAATAATACATATAAAGTACTCAAAAAAGTTATCAGTCAATACACATTAGTCAGCATTTTTTAAATAGAAAATATCATCTTCAAATAAGAGACAATTTTAGCTTCCACAAGGTTAACAATTGCAATGTATTAAAATGCATCAAATAAGTAAGTTTAAATCCATGTGTTCATACTGCCATGTTAAAAAAAATGATCACCTTTCAAAGATGATAGGAAAAAAATCATTATCTTGAAAACTGGTAAATATCTGGCTTTTATCCTGCCTTTCCTATATGAACAATATCATTGGGTAACTAAATAGGAGATGAGAGCAAGTGATTCCTACAGAATTATTTCAACTAATATGTAAAAAAAAATATGGATTTTGAATATCACCATTTTCAACCCTCAATTATTTAGTGGATTTATGCATTTTGCACCTGTTGAAGAAAAGCAACTCCACCTACAGTCCTGCTAAAGTCATGAAGGCCTGGCTGGATTCAGAGAGACTGCAATCTCGAATTCCAGGCTGTGGGAAACTACAGTTCGAATGGGCCCAGTCCCTCAACAATGAATTGTGTTTTTAAATTAAAAAAAAGAAGAGAATGGTGGATGAACATGTAGACTAAAAAAGACACAAAAGACATAACCAAATAGAAAAAAAATAGTTGGATAAACTCTAGTGTCTATGGATGCATATTTGAATTATAAAAATATAAAAGTATTAAGGCAGCAAGTACTATAAAAGTCAGGCTAGGTTGTAGGGCAGAGAGGTAGGTGGGTTTGAGACGAAGCACTTGGGACAGGGATTCTGGGCTGGCTGGCAAAGTTACTCATTGACCGCTATGGTGGTTGCAAAGCTATTTGACTTGAAACAGTTCATTAAGCTAGGTAGTTGTTTTGTGTGGCCTCATGTATCTGATTTAAAAAAAAAAACAGTATTTTAAAATAAAAATAAAAACTTAGACCTTGATACCTTTATCATCGTCATCTAGTCTGCTGTATAACCAACTCAGGAAAAAAATCACAAAAAGGAATTTGCTTCCAATGCAAAGATCATATTACTAGTAGGGTAACTTAATCTCATTTCATAGTATTACAGGCATACTTGTCTTCTGAAAATATTTACAGACTTTTTTCCTCCTCTATGAGAGAACTGGAGAAAGATTTTGCAAGCTACTTCTTAACCATAAATGTCAGGAGATTTTTTTTAAATACAAAGTGTATGTAACAAATGTTAAAAATAGTACTTGAAAAAGCAGATTTATTCCCTTAGATTCTTGTTTCTATACCAAAAGTGGTATTGTAAACTCTTTCTCTCTCTCTTTAGTAAGCATTCCATTTATCTCTGCATGCTACTTCCTCAAATACTGTATTTTAATCTCATGGGAGTCATTGCTTGAAGTCAGCTCAATTTGTGATTTAAGCAACCCATAATGGTATACTCTACTTTGTGTTGTCTAAGGCAAATATTATGTCATTGGATATTTAATGAATCGTTAATGAGAACAGACTTTGGTATTGTCAATAGTTTGGAAATGCAAGCTTTAATTTTTGGGGGAGGGGAGGGTGTGGGGATCTGGTAGTATGTCTCAGATTAGGATTGAAACCAAGTACCCGAATGCTAATAAGTCCCAGGTATGGAGGTACATTTCTTCTGTATTTCTGCAGCATATGAGTGAAGAAGTTGGGCGTAGGTACTGGATTTTCTGATATAGAATGTTAGCATCCTAGAATGTTAGCCCTGCAACACATCTTCAAGATATACTCCTTCAATTTCTAGCTAATGGAGGAAACACTTCATTATTTCCATAGGTTTTACATGGTCTAACTCCTAACTGATGCTTTCAACTTGGGGTCTTGCACAATTCCATGTTTATTACACATGAATTACATAGGACAACCCAAGGAATTAGATATCATTAAAGAAAAGATCCTAAAAACACAAAGGAATCTTGGAGTCACCCAATTAAGTTAGAGAGGTGCAGCTGCAATGTAAGCCCATGACAACCCTATGTCATAACCCAAGTCTTTTCATTCCCTAGCAAAGCCACTGGATTTAATGGAAAGAAGAGTCCTATTGGGAAATGGAAATATGATAGAACCAGTCAGTGGAGTGAAATGGCCGGGCAGAAGTAAGACAAAATGGATAGTTACAGAACCCTCCAGCAAGGGTAATACAGGACATTACTATCCCGACTTCCCTTGCTGAACATGTTTTCTCATTGGCAGGCTGAAGTATTCTAGCAATTAGTCTTCACTGGAGGTAGACAATGGGGTAAATTACAAAAGGAAAAATTTTTTAAATGTTAAATATTTATTAATGTTGAATATACCATTTTCCCTCCAGCCTTTCACCAAAGATAAACGGAATATTTTTAGAGCTTTCTATGTGGCAAGCATTATGCTAGGAGTTCATATTACACATTGAACTAGAGGAAACTCACAGTCTACTCGAGGACTTCAGCACAGATCATTTGCATTCTGGTTCATCTCTTGGGAAATTTCTTTAGATGAGGGAAAATATGTTTTGCTGCCTCCAGCAACACAATCCTTATTTTTACCAACCCCCTTCTCTGGCCCCTGTCTCTTCTAATCCATACTCTCTCAGTGTGTCCCACTGAGCTACCCAGAAAATAATGCAGAAAATGGTGACCGGTATTGGATCTTTCAATCAACACTGAGAAATTCATCTAATTGGAAAATGTCAAGTTTCCCAATTATTGGCACCCAAGCATCACCTTATTGACCACTGATAACTCCACTGATGTTATAAATATGCCTCAGACAGAAAACTAATTATCCAACATTGATGAGAAGGTAGGGGAGCATGAGGAATCCCCTCCGGGCCCTGCATAATTCTGCAGAATTAAGGAATTTGTTTGTGTAATTTCTCCAGGGACATGCTCAATTATTCTGCATCAGCTTTGTAACAGATAGTGATAATAGCTATTTTAGAGTGTAATATAGCAGAATCTCAGGCAGAGGAAGAGGTGCAAAGGGAATTGAATTAAAAATCTCTTACTTTAGAAAATCAATCTGCTGGCATTTTCTGCATAAAACCAACTCTCCTGTCTGGCTCCCTACCCTCTGCATTTCCCACCTCCCTGTGCAGACCCAGGATTACTTGAAACCATTTCGTGTCTCACCCATTGTCTGCTAGAATCAGCTCTAACTTCAACTCTGTAAGTATGGGCAACAAGAATTTAATGTATTTTATGATGCACATTGAATTCAGTCATAAATTTCTTGTGGTTAACCTGCTCTTAAACTCATTTTTTTCCCTAGCTCTAAAGAAAATTCATAAACTATAAACACTTGTTATATGCTGAGCACTATCCTTTGTGTTTTACACATGTATATTACTTTGTCTAATCTTCAAATGAGCAAAGAGATGTTATTAGTCAGTTTACAGATGAGGAGGTTAACTGTACAAGTTGTACTCATCTACAACTTGTAAATGCTGGAGTGAAGGTATGAGCTCAGCACTGTTGGACTCCAAAGTCAGTTCCAGTTCCACTGTTCCATGTTGTTGACAGGTTGCCCAGTGTGAGGGCTTTGTCTTGCACTCACCCAATGCCATCCAAGAGCTGCATGTGTAAAATTTAAATGTATTTCTTTTAAATGGCCCAAAGCATGATTGTCCGCTGATTGTGCTCTCTGGTGCTGACCACACGCCTTCTGCCTGGATTCCAGACCATTGCTTCTTAGATACCTCTTTTCTGCTTTCTGCCTGTGCTTTTGGGTTCCAGGATGCTTTTTGTTTTAATTAATTAATTAATTTATTTATGTTTTACTGCTGTCTCCTTCTTCATGCTTATTACCTGCCTGAACTGTACGCTGTCTATGTCTTTGCCTCTTATCCACTTGCCTGTTTCACTGGACTTCCTCCTGAACACATCTATTTGGTTCTGTTTTTCCAGGTCCTGCCTTGCCCGACTGGACAAGTTCTTAAATTTCCAAGGCTGGATTGTGCGTGTGCGTGTGTGTGTGTGTGTGTGTGTGTGTGTGTGTGTGTGAGAGACAGAATGTATTTGTGTATTTTGTTTGTCTTATTATTGCTATTGTTGAAGCTATAGGTAACAAGGCCATGATTATTCAGACAATAAGTATCAATGAGATAGATCAGTCAATTGTTGTAATCTATTATGCCATTGAACCAGAAGACAACCCGGAAAGAAATAACCCTTGTCCAGGCCCTTCTGGCACGAGATTATTGCCTTAATTAGTCAAGGAAAGTTCCCTTGTTGTGGCTAGAAATTTATAATAATCTTTCAATAGTCTCTTTTAATGAGGTCTTTTAAGGTATCCAAAAATTGATGCAATTTTCTCTCACAAAGCAAAATGGGCACTTGTTGCTTGGTCAATTTTACTAGACAAAAATATATAACCTTGAATATATAATTTGGAAGAATTTCATAACCAGTTATATATCTTACTGGGTGTGGTTTTATTATTATCTCCTAGAATTCCTTCCATGATTTAAAAAAAAAAAAAAAAAAACGTGGCATGAGTCACTTCTTTTTTTGTCCTCCAGGTTCTAGGTTATCCTCTGATCTTCTTTCCTGTACCACACTATTCATATCACAGGCCAATTTGAAAATAAGTCTATCTTTCAATCTGAATTATTAAAAGTTCACTCAAAGTGCAACCCCATTAGTTTCTTCTGCTTTATCTCCTCTTGTTACTAATTGTACATACTTAAACATAGCTAGATATCCCAAGTGCCCTGTGAAATACTGACCATGGATCTATAACTTCCCTGACTGTTCAAAAACATCCATGTTGGAGCTGAGGGAGAACTGGAGTCTATTCTAGACTTGAATGGGAAAAAGCCAGCAAATCCAGTGTTTTGGCTCCATTTGAAAACTGGAATATATATGTGTGTGCATAAATATATATATATACACACACACACATATATGTATATGTACATATATACATACATATATACATCAATGTATATATACATCAGTGTATATACATATATGCATGTATATGTGTGTCTATACATATACACACTATATATGGAATATATATATACACATATGTATATACTGGAATATATATACATATATACATACATATATACACACTATACATGGAATATATATACACACATATGTATGTATATACTGGAATATATATACATATATACATACATATATAGATAGATGTATTTGTACATATGTGTGTATGTGTGCAGATGGTGTGTATATATTTCTATACAGAAGACCTAGAAGATCTTCTGTATCTGAAAATGAATGAAGTTAGACCATTTAAAGTGGATAAAATTAAATTATGTAGCATTATTTTATTTTAAAAAGAACAAAATTAGAAATATAAAACTCAATATGTAGATAGTATATCGTTTTACATTTAATAAAACTTAGGTTTAATTGTTCCATATAATAATTTTACGAATGAATAAAATATGGCTCATGTGCTGACACTTTTGAGTAATTTTTCTCTACAAATTTTATGATTGCATAGATTGCTTAATCTTTTGGTATATTTTTAGAAAATATTTTGCGGTGCCAACTCTATCATCATCATGTTGTCTTCTTCCCTCCTTCTCTACCTTCCTCCCTTTCTTCTTTGTTTTTTCCCCCTATTTTTCAAATACAGTAATTGATGGGCAACAGTTTTGGGTGGGATTTGAGTAATTCTTCAATCTTACTATGAGAGATCCATGAAATATTGCATGTAGTACATGATATGCAATTCCATTGTGTGTTTGATTTGCCCTGCATTTATGTTGTTTTGTGGAATGTAACATTTAGAAATCAGTTAGAGATGATTTACACATGCATGATATATGAGTGGAAAAGTTAAGTGAAGATGGATGATTGGGTGGAGACTAATTTTATAAGTATTTAGTACCCTAGGAATACTTTTGTTATAAAAACTCACTTTTATACACGTATTTCTAACTTTAGGAACTTGCATAATTAAAATCCCATCTATATTATCACAGGATTAGAGCATAAATACAATTGTTTCAGCTTTTTTTACTGAACATATATCATAGACATTTTTCCATATTAACACATATAAAGAAGGCAATGGTTGGAGAAGTAAAGTAACACGTACAAAATCACACAGCTTGTTAATGACGATGCCAGCTCCATGTTGTTTTTAAGTTAAACTATGTTTACTACATATATCATTTAAAAAAAAACTATCTCGGTATTTATTATGCAACTTTTGCATTTCCCTAACATTGCAATTATTAATTAAGAAGAGATGAACAAAGAAATCTAGTGTAGTTCAAATTGTATGAGTAATTCTGCAGTTAGAATGCAGTTGCTAAGAACTGGAGTTTGGTTAGAATACAAGCCCTAGCACCTGTTCTCTTAAAACAAGATTTTGTTATGCACTTTCAAAAGAGGACTGCAACATTTCTGATTCTACCTGCAAGGTGGCCATGCAAAATCCATTACAGAGGAATGAAGTTTAAAAGTTGACATTATAAGCCAGCCGCAGTGGCTCACGCCTGTAATCCCAGCACTTTGGGAGGCTGAGGTGGTCGGATCACGAGGTCAGGAGATCGAGACTATCCTGGCTAACACCCGGTCTCTACTGAAATTAGCCGGGCATGGTGGCCGGCGCCTGTCGTCCCAGCTACTCTGGAGGCTGAGGCAGGAGAATGGCGTGAACCCGGGAGGAGGAGCTTGCAGTGAGCCTAGATTGTGCCACTGCACTCCAGCCTGGGCGACAGTGCCAGACTCCATCTCAAAAAAAAAAAAAAAAAAAAAAGAGTTGATATTATATATTACGATCAATAAAAATACGTCTGTTATGCTGCAAGAAAGATAGCATTACACAGATGATGCACAGGAGTTTAAAAAGTGTTATTGGCGGCTGGGCACGGTGGCTCACGCCTGTAATCCCAGCACTTTGGGAGGCCGAGGCGGGCGGATCACGAGGTCAGGAGATCGAGACCATCTTGGCTAACACGGTGAAACCCCATCTCTACTAAAAATACAAAAAGAAATTAGCCAGGCGTGGTGGCGGGTGCCTATAGTACCAGCTACTTGGGAGGCTGAGGCCGGAGAATGGCGTGAACCCGGGAGGCTGAGCTTTCAGTGAGCCGAGATCGCGCCACTGCACTCCAGCCTGGGCGACAGAGAGAGACTCCGTCTCAAAAAAAAAAAAAAAAAAATGCTATTAGCAAGATTACTTTAAAAATTTGGAAGGGAGATTTACAATATCCTTACTTATTTGAATTATAATAATAATTTAAGAAATATGACTGTGTATATATTGTTTCAAATAAGACATTATAAAATAATTACACTAAAAGAGGTTTATATTTCAAATCAAACTTTTCCTCCCACCCATCCAAAAAGAAAAGGGAAACCAGCTCCCATAATTCCAGAGGAAAAGCTCCTAGATGATTTAACTATTTCCATTTCCAAGGAGTATTCTAGGTCACAGTCATACTTAGTTCTTTCTTTCTATACTGAGCCCTAGATATATGTGCAATGGGATAGATTTCAGGTGGAAGTTCAATATCAGCATCTCTTAAGTAGTTGCTGTTTTATTTCCTAAATTAATTATTTCTGAAATACAGTCCTCGATTGCTGCAGATATAGGGGCATCTGAAGGTAATGCTGAAAATGGAAGCTGGTAGGTACGAAAGTAATATTGAAGCTCCTGGTTTCATGTTAAAGTTACAGAAACTTTGCTTTTTACTTTATCATAGTATATATGCATGCCTTACTAAAATCACAATGTATTGTTTAGGAGCTATCAATAATAAGTGTTTATTGAACTGAGCTATCTGTGGGTAGTAAATTAGATGGTTTTGTCAGCTCCTAGGTGCGCTAAGTATGTGTACAGATCAGCTCTCTGTCAACTCATCTAGGAAGGCAATGGATGTGTAGAGCAAACTAGCCCTCCTCCATGTCTCTCACCCTCCTGCTGAAACCACCTGCTTATCTGAGCATTTCCTTTCAGGGTAAAGAAGAGGACAAGTGAGAACAAACCCAATCAGCAAGACTTCAAGCCTCTGATTGTGTCACATATGTTAATATCCCATTGGCTAAATCAAGTCATGTGGTTGAGTTCAGAGTCTGATTGGGAGGATGTTACATAGTTGTAGGGCAGGGGAAATGGATTGAGGACAATGAAAGATTGGAATCAATTATGCAATCACTCTACTGCATTACCACAGCCTGAAACTTTTAGGGGAAAAAACAAAAACAAAAACAAAAAACAACAACAAAAAAACAAGTTCCTGGAGATTATGGATTGACTCATCTATGAGGGAGAATGTATTCCTTTGTTCTAACCTCTACCCTAATTATAAGGACAACTCATACCCAAATACAAATCAGCATCATGCTAGGTCAATATAGCACCTTTAGAAGTGCAAATCACTTTTAACTCATCATCTCATGTATTCTTTAAACCACCTAATGAAATTACAGGCCAGGAAGTTGTGCCCATTTTAGGGATAAAGCAACTGGGTCTCTGAGTCTCTTAAATAGTCACAAGAAAAAATAACTGACAAAACCAAGGCAAAAACTCTCATTATTAAATGGCTAACCTAGGTCTACTTCCACTGAAATTTATGGACTCCCTTGACAATTTCTCAGAAGTCTTTGCTTAGTTGTCATATCCCTAGCACTGCAAAAAGGCTCCAGAGAATCTTACTGCCTGACTGAAGCTTATCCCCCTAAGCCAGATGAAGTTACCATGATTTATCAGAAAGAACTCCAGGCGGCAGAAGGCACTGAATTCTGAGCCCTGATGTGCAGGAGCTGAACGAATGAATCCTTGAATAATCCATTCAAATTCTCAGAGCCTCATCCTCTTACTCTGTAAAATGCATATACAAAAACTTACCTCTTGGAACTATTATAAATGTAAATAAGGTAATATAGATGAAAATACTCATCACAGTCCCTGGACGAACAGTGGAACCTGAGTTTTATCTTTTCTAACTCTCAGGTAACAGACTCCATAAACTTGTAAATTCAATATAAGAATTAATATGAGTTCAAAAAAAGTTTCTGATTTTAGTTTTCTTTAATAGGAGATGGATAAAGACATTGGTGGATAGATACATGGACAGATGGACAGATAAATTACTTGTAACAGCAATACTTATTTTTTCATCTTGAATTTACAAAAATAGTACAAAATTTATATTTTTTTCCTGAATCATTTGAGGTGTGTTGACATGATGCCCCATCAGCCCTGAATGTTTTATTGCATTATTTCTACAAAATGATGACAAAATTAGGGCATTAATATGAATATATTACTATTATGTAACCCACAGACCACATCTAAGTTTTGCCAGTTATCCCAATAATCAGCTTTATAGTAAAAAATGATCTAGGCTGGGCACGGTGGCTCCCGCCTGTAATCCCAGTATTTTGGGAGGCTGAGTCGGGTGGACCACCTGAGGTCAGGAGTTCAAGACCAGCCTGGCCAACATGGTGAAACCCTGTCTCTACTAAAAATACAAAAATTAGCTGGGTATGGTGGCATGTCCCTGTAATCCCAGCTGCTCGGGAGGTTGAGGCAGGAGAACTGCTTGAACCCGGGAGGTGGAGGTTGCAGTGTGCCAAGATCTTGCCATTGTGCTCCAGTCTGGGAGACAAGAGCAAAACTCGTTCTCAAAAAAAAAAAAAAGATCTAAATGAAGATCATGCATCACAATTATATTTACCTGTCATGTCAATACTAGTCTCCTTCAACCTGGAAATTTCCCAATCTTTCCTGACACTTACGAAGATTGCCCGATTATATTATAGTATTTCCTCAATTTGGGTTTGTCTAATGTGTTCACAGGATTATATTCAGCTTTTATGCCTTTGGCAAGACTGCCACAAGAGTGATGCTCTGTTTTCCTTGTTTTATTCTATCAGCTGTTCCAAGATTTAGTTTGTTCCATTACTTATGATGTTCACTTTGAGCACTTGACTAAAGTCATATCTGCCAAGATTTCTTACAGTACAGTTAGTCACTTCTTTATTATTTGTGATTGATAAATATTTTACAGGATATTACCTTGAAATGATGTAAATATGTGATTCCTTACCATTTGATTTGTTCATTTATTAATTTCTATCAGTTTATATTCAAGATTTATCTTGTTTCACTTACTGGGTGAAAATCTCAAGGTTTTCTAGTGGGATGCCTGATAAATTGACTCTCCTCTATATGTCCCTATAATTCTTTGATCATTTCTTTTCTTTTTGACAAAATAAAATGTTCCAACTACATCTTGAATTTTCCCTGCCCAGGTCTAGTAATCAGCTATTTCTCTAAAAAGTCTGGTTCCTTTGCAGGGACATGGATGAAGCTGGAAACCATCATCCTCAGCAAACTAATACAGGAACAGAACACCAAACACCACATGTTCTCATTCATAAGTGGGAGTTGAAAAATGAGAACACATGGACACAGAGAGGGGAACACCACACACTGGGGCCTGTCAGTGGGTAGAGGGAAAGGGGAGGGAGAGCATTAGGACAAATACCTAATGCATGCGGGGCTTAAAAGCTAGATGACGGGTTGATAGGTGCAGCACACCACCATGGCACATGTATACCTATATAACAAACCTGCATGCTCAGCACATGCATCCCAGAACTTAAAGTAAAATGTTTTTAAAAAGTCTGGTTCCTTTTAGTGTGGAACAGCATTTAGCAACCAAGAACCAGGTATTTAGAACACAAATTTTTCTTACTGGTATCGGTGGACTGCAGTTCCCAGACCCTCTTTAGTGGACAGAGCGAGGCAATATAGATTAAGGGCGGAGACCACCCCTCATATTGTCTTATGCCCAATTTCTGCCTCCAAAGAAAGAAGAAGTAAAAACTAAAAGGCATAAATGAAATCCACAGGCAGACAGCCCGGAGCCACTCCCTGGGTCTGGTAGTTAAAGATGGACCCCTGACCTAACTGGTTATGTTATCTATAGATTCCAGACATTGTATGGAAAAGCACTGTGAAAATCCCTGTCCTGTTCTGTTCTGTTCTGATTACCAGTGCATGCAGCCCCCAGTCACGTACCCCCTGCTTGCTCAATCGATCACGACCCTCTCACATGGACCCCCTTAGAGTTGTGAGCCCTTAAAAGGGACAGGAATTGCTCACTCGGGGAGCTCAGTTTTTGGAGACGTGAGCCCGCCGATGCTCCCAGCTGAATAAAGGCCTTTCCTTCCACAACTCGGTGTCCGAGGGGTTCTTGTCTGTGGATCGTCCTGCTACAAGATGAGTATATATATTTACATACAGATATACATATACGTATATGCATGCGTATTTATATCTAAATTTATTTCTACTCATATTGACATTCATTTTTATTTTCATATTTATATCTACCAATAAGTATTAGTTTGCTAGGGCTATCCTAAGAAAATACCAGTGACTGAGTAGCTTAAAGAATAGAAATTTATTTGCTCATGGATCTGAAGGCTGGAAGTCTGAGATCAAGGTGACAGCAGGGTTGATTTTCCTGGAAATTCACTCCTTGGCTTGCAGAAGTCCTTTCTTCTGCACATGTGTACCCGCCATCTCTCTTTGCGTGTTCAAATTTCCTCTTACAAGGACATCAGTCATATTGGATTAGGACACACCTTAATGACCTCACTTAACCTTAAAACATCTTTAAAGGCCTTATCTCTAAAGATAGTCACATCCTGAGGTACTGGGGGTTAGAACGTCAACATATCTAATGTATCTTTCAGTTTAATTGTGATTTACACTGATACCTTCAATCTCAAGCCAAAATTATAACTCTTATTCTAATGTTTTCTATTTCCATATGCTGTCAATCTTTTCTCCAATAGTGAGAAAACTGGCTTCCATTATACTCCATATCTTTATATATTGGATTAATCCCTCCATCACTTTTCCATCTCATCTTGCTGGCAACTGACTACTTCCCTCTCCGCCCTTCCCTGGGTGGATGTCCCCTTACTCCACCTGGGCTCCAACACTCCAGGCTGCATACTGTCTGCCTGCCATCCAACATTCACAAACTCACACTCACACCCTTTCACACACACACACAAACACATCCCCACTCACATCTTTACACACACTCACACATGCACACATACACACTCACTACCTAATTTGTCTGACCCCCCAAAACATCTTTTGGCCTGAATTATTCTCAAAGAAAGAAGGAAGGGAAGAACTTAGGAAGGGAAAAAAAGAGAAAGAAGAGAAAACAGAAGAAGGGAGAGAGAGATGGAAAAGCACAACACTGGAAGGCAGACAGGCAGGCAGGAAGTGCAGTTCAGTTCTAAAGCATATTGGGACAATTTTTTTTTTTTTAAGAATCCCATGGATAACTGGGATAACTGAATAGTTAGAAACTATTGACTACAAAAGATTATTAATTACAGCACGGCTATGGAAAATAGCAAGCTGAAAAAAACAAAGCAGCAACAGCAGTCCACTTCTCCTACTGCCAAGTTCAAAATAAGGAAAATGTGTTTGTCTTCTTAGAGCAAAATTGGAGTAAGAGCAAAATAAATGAGAAAAGATGTTTTCAAAGTTTCTCTACAAAGGGAGACCAGTTACCTGACTTAGTCAAAAGTAGTTGATTATATTAATATAAAAAAACGGCAGTAAACGGCTGGGTGCGGTGGCTCACGCCTGTAATCCCAGCACTTTGCGAGGCCAAGGTGGGTGGATCACGAGGGCAGGAGCTCAAGACCAGCCTGGTCAAGATGGTGAAACCCTGTCTCTACTAAAATACAAAAAAATTAGCTGGCCGTGGTGGCAAGCACCTGTAATCCCAGCTACTCGGGAGGCTGAGGCAGACAATTGCTTGAACCCAGGAGGTGGAGGTTGCAATGAGACGAGATCCCGCCACTGCACTCCAGCCTGGGGGACAAAGCGAGACTCCATTAAAAACAAAAACAAAAACAAAAACAAAAAAAAACGGCAGTCAAGATGGGAGCTGGTTAACAATGGATCTTAGATTGAAAAAAATCATAATAATTACAGAGGCAATTTTTGCAGATATCATCCAAGGACTGTCCTCAGAGGTATGGTTGTCCTGACTTAGCATTCATGTCCCTGGCACAGTAGACATAGAGAAAGATGTATGTAAATATCATTAGCTGATTACATAAAATACAAATAAATGACAAAATCATCTGTTAGCATCTCAATAATCACAAAGCAATCCTTTGATTACAATGGGATTTTCCTATAGAATTCTCTGTAGCAGGGGTAAAGCCACGGTGCTATGTTAAAGAATCCTTAAGACAGAAGAGGTAAAGTTAGAGCTCATGCTTTAACAATTGCACAAAACCCTTATCATGCAGTCCATGCAGACATTCTTCATTACCGGGAGTGTTTCCTGTCTGTGGAAGCTCTTTTCAGGCAGTGTTACAGGTATGAACTATTGCTCTAAATGGAGACAATGAGCTGTCCAGTTGGCTGTATCACTATAGTTTCAATTGCAAATGTATTAAGTTGCTGTGAATTATACACCAGTTTCTCTTGTAAATAGAGTAAATCCAATCTTGCGGGATGAAGCCCTCTCAGGGTATTAGGTCAAGGTTTGGGACCTGAGCAATGAAGATCTAACTGATGTCATGAAGATAAATTGCACTTCTGAGGCTGTAGAGACAACCTCTTCCCCATCTGCCTGCTGCCCTCCAAACTTCAATGTTTGGTGATCCTTCTTCCCACTTACCTAGAGTATAGTTCCTCTACCTATTAATACATGGTTTGGACAACAGTAACATAACTTATTTAGAATGTATTTTGGCCTCGAAGGTAATAGTTTACTGATTCTGTTATCTCAGATATTTCTGTTAGCAGAACCTTGTGAGAAAACAATTTTTTTTTTCTGGTGAAAAAAAATGTGGAGATTCTTTGTAGAATCTCAAATTCATTTCGTACTTTTCAGAGTGTCTGCTTGGCTACTGTTGTAGAGTTAGGGTTTTGCCATCTTAGGTATGGAACATAGATTGCAATAAATGGAACAATCAAGTACTCCTACACACACAAAAAAACTGATAACAGAAAAATTTCCTTAATAACCATGTAGCATTAGAGTCTGATTATATCATGGTAAGATATTTTAAAAGGAAAAGCAGACAGAACTCTGGTCTTAATTACTGAGTTGCTGTTTTGTTTTGTTTTGTGTTTAACTAAATTTCTAGTTGAAATGTGTAATCAAGATATAATACAATCAGAAATGATTTATTTAGGATAGAAACTGCAGCTAGAAATAGGCAGAATGTTGTAAAGGTGAATAGTTCACATTCTGAATCCAGGACACTACAGATTCAAATTCTGGCTCAGTCACTTTCTGCCTGGGAAAATCACTTAACCCGGTTTAATTTCAATTGAAAATGTAGGGTGATAAACTGAGCTTTTGCTAGAATGTTGTGACTATCAAATGAGGTAAGGTACACATCTGGGGCACAGAGACCTCTCAATGACTGTTCACTATTATTAGTCTCATTGTTTGAAGGTCTCTGGAACTCACTTGGTCCTCAAAAAATTTGCATTCTTTCCTCATAAATTCCTGGTGACCTATATGAATGAACAGGGAATGTGTTGCCATATTAACAACACTGCCAACATCAAGAGAACCCTGCCCAAATCTGAGGCAGCAACACTGCTGCTTCTCATTTTCCAACATCAGTTCATTAAATAACTATTAATAATGGGGTCAACGAAGTTCTAATTAGAAGAGATTTTCATACTCACTCAGTCTAAACCCCTTGATTTATGGAACCAGAAACTGAGGTCAAGTGGTAAATCTATTTGTCCAAAGCCATAGGATATATTAATACCATTATTTTAAAAACAAAAATTGAAGGTATAAAGTTTTGTAAATCTAAAATTATACCCCCTCAAAAATTATGTTAAAAAATGTTTGAATAACCTAGAAATGTTTATTTTCTTACTTGAAGGCTGTATAACACTTTTATGTAATTTAAAATATCTTTTGCTCACTAATAGTCCAGGAGTTTCATATCCCACCCTTAGGTGTAAAGTCATTGCTTATAAATCTAACTGACTCTTATCAAACTCTATTAAAGGTGCAAGGCAAGGCCAGTTACTAAGATGGATGATCATGTAATAAACAAAAGGGGTCCCAATTTACAACTCAATAAAAACAAAGGTGCGAAAGTCACCATTGTCCTGCAAGCCCCTAACCATCTACATAATACTTGATCATACTTGCTAATTTGTTTTGGAGGGTTTGATATGTAGAACATTTTTTAATACCCTGTTCATTCCATGAAAATGTAGGCAAGGCATATCATAATTTAAATGTTACCATTTGTAAATGAATTGACCTAAGGAAATTCTTCAAAAGGCAATTATAACTTAAATAAAAATAATAATATTTTATATTTAATTGCAAGTGTAGCTTACAGACCACGTCTAGATTCTGCATATCACTAAATTTTCACAAAAACCCATGAGGTGAACATTACATGCATTTTACAGTGAGTAACCAGAAACTCAGAAGATTTTCAGTGTCATGCTGTCAATCAGTCTTGGGTCCTCAAGTTTTTCCTAAACCTACTTTCTCCAAGTTTAGAGTGCTTGCTTATTCATGTCAACTTATCTTTTTTGGTCAGAATATCTTTAATAATAAGTTAATAAATCCTCATTCTTCATTTAGTGCATCTAATAATTTAATAATAAAATCAATTTAATAATAAAAATATTTAATAATAAAAATTATTTAATAATTTGCACTATAAGAACCCTTGAGGCCCAAACAATATCCCAGTTACCTTGATGTCATCCTCTGATTAATCAGCCAACAGAGGTAGACCCTGATGAATCCCCTCTGAATTAATAATCACAAGGTCTCCAGATTACAAAGTCTTTACTACAACATGGTAATTCATTCCATCCAATTTCTTGGCTGGGAATTAAGCACAAATCTGTTATCTCTGAGTCCAAGCAAGAGAAGAAAATGGGTCTTCATGTCGATCACCAAAGTTTTAACCACTTGTAAAATGAGTACGAGCAAACAAAAAAAATTACCATAACCTTCAACTAACAAATCAGACACCTCAATTCCCCATCCCCCACATATAAGTTCTTAAAGTGCAAAAGCAAAAGGGAAAATATGCTGTTTGTAAAATAGAGAAATTCTGACCCCTAACTCTATGCGAGTAAAACAAATTTAATTCTTATAAGGGAGAGAGCACTAGTTTGAGCCATTCATGTCTAATGGAAAATGATTTGATTCTTGTTTTCCTTTTTTGCTTTTTGCTTTCTTCTTGTCCCCTGTCTATCCTGAGGTAGCCAAAAAGTCATTTAGTTTGTCTTCTTGAATCCATCAAATCCTCAGTAGATCCAGACTTCATGAAAATAGTGTTAAAAAATCTTGCTGAGTGATAGGTCTGCTTTGTAAAGAACACAGAAAGGCTGATCAATTATTAGAGTGTAACTGATTGCTTAGCAAAATAAGCTCACAGGAGACTCTGGGACAAACCACACCCAGCGGCTAAAATAAGTGGAGCCTGAGATCAACATTTACAAAGCAGATATAATGCCATTTGGCGAATATCTCAGCTTAAGGATTGTCCAGGATGAAATAAGGTCCAGATTTTACCTGCTAATACAAGAGTGCTGTAGCTTTTGTGAATGCCAGTCAAAAAAAAAAAAAAAAAGACTACTTTAAAAAATATTTGCATTTTGAATTGTTGCAAACTACATTTAATTTAGGCAAAGAGACGCAGAGCCCATTAGCCCATTACTTAAAGGAAAATGTGCAGGCAACTTGTATCAAGCAGTATGTTAATCTTGAAATATAAATAATTCCACTCAAATTATGTTTAAGACATTTAAGCATTTTTATATGGGCAATCATCCCAAGCTCTGGCTCTTTTCAAAATCTGTGATCTCTCATATGCAGGTTCTCAGGCTCTCTGCATCCCTATTAGTGTGACTAAATGTAAAACAATTCCAGCCCTTTATCATTTCTTTCCCGACAAAGGCAGTTTTTCTCTAGCGGCAGTCATCTAAATTTATTTGGACAACTCAGAGATTCTACAACCTTCCAATCCAACTCCTATATATCTCAAAATAGAAAATTCTGATTTATGTTCACTTACCAAAAACCCTTTAAATATTTTCTTCTATAGAGAGTGGGATTTCCAAAAATGTGTTTGGTAGCACTCCAGTTCCATGAGATGCTCCGTAAATAAAGTGTTCTGGGCTAATTCTATTACCTGTGTAATATCTACATCCAGCACAGATTTCCGACATGACAGTTAGCCCACTGTGATTAAATTACATATATATTTGTGTGCAAATATATAGTGTGTGTATATAATTTTCCTCACTAGATTATGCTTTGATATAAGGACTGTATCTCGTATGGCTAAGTTTTCCATGAGGTGTGGGACCTTCTCAGAACTCTCTCTCTCTCTCTCTGTCATCCAGGCTGGAGTGCAGTGGCATGATCTCAGCACACTGCAGCCTCCACCTCCTGGGTTCAAGTAGTTCTCCCACCTAAGCCTCCAGAGTAGCTGGGATTACAGAGGCGCACCACCATGCCTGGTGCATTTTTAGTAGTGACAGGGTTTCAGCATGTTGGCTAGGCTGGTCTTGAACTCCTGACCTCAGGTGATCCACCAGTCTTGGCCTCCCAAAGTGCTGGGATTACAGGTGTGAGCCACTGTGCCTGGCCTCAATGTATATTTTTGAGTGAATAAATTAATGATGGAAGACATTTGAAGAGACTATCCTTTCTCCATTGTGTATTTTTAGCATTCTTGTCCCAGATCAGTCAACTACATATACATGGATTTATTTCTGGGCTCTCTGTTCTGTTTCATTGGCCTACATGTCATTATGTCAGTACCACACTCTTTTGATTACTGTAGTTTTGTAAAATATTTTGAAATCAGAAAGTGTGATGCCTCTGGCTTTGTTCTTTTTTCTCAAGATTGATTTGGCTATTTGATTATTTTGTGTGATTCCATATGCATTTTAAAATTTTTTCTGGCCGGGCCCAGTGGCTCACACCTGTAATCCCAGCACTTTGGGAGGCTGAGGTGGGTGGATCACCTGAGGTCAGGAATTGGAGACCAGCCTGGCCAATATGGTGAAACCCTGCTTCTACTAAAAATATAAAAATTAGCCAGGTGTAGTGGCATGTGCCTGTAGTCTCAGCTAGTTCGGAAGCTGAGGCAGGAGAATAGCTTCAACCCGGGAGCGCGGAGGTTGCAGCGAGCCAAGATTGTGCATCACTGCCCTCCAGCCTGGGCAATACAGCGATACTCTGTCTCAAAAAAAAAAAACAAAATGGATTTTTCTATTACTGGTAGAAAATACCACTGAGATTTTGATGCAGATTGCATTGAATTTGTAGATTGCTTTGGGTAGTAGTATGGATGTCTTAACAATATTGTTTTCCATGAAAACAAAATACCTTTCCATTTCTGTGTGTCTCGTTTAATTCATGATTTTTATAGTTTTAAATATACAAGTAATTTACCTTCTTAGTTAAGTTTATTCCTAAGATTTTATTATTTTTGTGCTATTGTAAATGGTTTTACAATATTTGGGATTGTTTTCCTAATTTTCTTTTCAGATAGTTTGTTGTTAGTCTATAGAAATGCAACTAATTTTTGGATATGGTTTTTTATCTTACAACTTTGCTGAATTCATTTATTAGTTCTAACATTTTGTTGTTGTTCTTCTTATTGTTTTAAATGGAGCCTTCAGGGTTTTCCATATATAAGATCATGTTGTCTGCAACAGGCACAATTTTACATCTTCCCTTCCTGTTTGGATGCCTTTCATTTCTTTGTCTGTCCTAGGTGCTCTTTTTAAGACTTCTCCTCTTTGTTGTATAGAAATGGTGATGATACGTATCCTTACTTTGGTCCTGATCATAGAGGAAAAGCTTTTTCTGTTTTTCACCATTGAGTATAATGGTAGCTGTAAACTTTTCATATATGGCCTTCATTATGTTGAAGTAATTTTCTTCTATTCCTACTTTGTTGAAAGAGAAATACATTCTTTTTAACAAATAGTGTTGGAAAAAATGGATAATTCCCATGCAAAAGAAGGAAATTGGACCTTTATCTTATACCATATGCAAAAAAAAAATCAAAACGGATTATCAACATAAATTTGAGGTCTGAAACTGTAAAACTTCTAAAAGAAAACTTAGGGGAAATACTTCATGACATTGTTTTTGCCAGTATTTTCACAGATATAATACCAAAAGCACAGGTAATAAAAAGCAAACAAGTGGTATTACATCAAACTATGAAGCTCCAGTACAGCAAAAGAAATGATCAGCAATGAAAAGTCAACCTACAGAATGGGAGAAAATTATTTGCAAACCATATATGTTAGACCCCCAAACATGTAAGGAATTCCTACATCTCAATAGAAAACAAACAAACAATAAGCCAACTCAGGAATGAGCTAAGGTCTTGATATACATTTCTCGAAAAAAAAAAAAGATATACAAATAGCCAACAGGTATATGTAAAAATGTTCAACATTCTAATCATTAGAGAATAACAAATCAAAAACACAGCGAAATGTCATTTTATACCTGTTAGGGTAGCCATTATTAAAAAAAAAAAGAGCAAACAAAACCCCAGAAAATAACATGTGTTGGCAAGGAAGGAGAAAAATTGGAAATTGGAACCCTTGCATACCGTTCATGGAAATGCAAAGTGGTGCGGCATCAATGGAAAAAATTTGGAGGTTTCTCAAAAAAGAAAAAATAGGACTACCATAATCTGGCAACTCTACTACTGGGATTTTATCCAAAAGTACTGAGATCAGGATCTTGAAGAGATAGTAGCACTTCTATGTGCATTGCAACACTATTCACAATAGTCAAGAGGGGGAAATAACTTAAATTTTCATAGATTAAAAAAATGAGAGATATATACATATATGCATATATATATAGTACTCTCTCTATATAGTACTATATACATATATACATATATAGTACTATATACATATATACATATATAGTACTATATACATATACATATATAGTACTATATGTATAGTACTATATACATATAGATGTATATAGTACTATATATAGAGAGTACTATATATATAGTAATCCATTGTATAGTAATAGATATATAGTAATCCATTGTATAGTACTATATATGTATTGTACTATATATATAGTACAATGGATTACTATTCAACCTTAAGAAAGAAATCTGCAACATGCCATAACTTGGATGAACCTTATGCTAAGTGAAGTAAGTCAGAAAGACAAACACTGCATGATTTCACTTATATGAGGTGTCTAAAATGGTTACAAACATATAGTCAGATAGAAGAAACAAGAGCTAGTGTTTGGTAGCATAATAGGGCAACATTAGTTAACAATAATTTATTGTATATTTCAAAATAACTAAAAGAGTAGAATAATGTTCCTAATACAAAGAAATGATAAATGCTTCAGGCGATGGATATCCTAATTACAGTGATTTGATCCTTGCCCATTGTATCCTTATATCAAAGTATCACATATACTCCTTAAATATGAACAAATGTTATATATTCATAAAAAAAGAATAATCAAATTTATAGAATTGAATTGTGAAATAGTGGTTTCCAGGGGCTAGGAGAAGGAGGAAATGAGAAATTAGTAATCAATAAGCAAGAAGAATAAGCTCTAGAGAACTGCTGTACAACAGTGTACCACTAGTCAACATTTAGAAATATACTAAGAGGGTAGGTATCATGTTAAATGTTCTTAACATTACAAAATAAAAATTTAAAGAAAAGAAGCACTTAGAATCTGTTGACTAAGATTAGGTGAAGGTGAAAATACGTTATTTTAAAAAATCCTATTATTTGTTGAGAGTACATGTGCCCCTCTGTGTGTATGTGTGTATTCACAGAACACTCTGTCATTATTATCACAGATGAGTGAACACGTGATTTAATGTGTAAACTGGGATATTTTGGAGAATGAAATGGGGTGTCAAAAATAATGTATCACATTTTTAAAAATAACTGTTTATTAATTAATAAATTGGCTTATGTTGGTAGATTATAAAATATTTCTATTCAAAAACAATGTTAAAAGTAAAATTATTTCTAAAATATATAAACAATATATATCTCCTCTCATTATATAATAGCAATAAAGGCAAAATAACAAAAAATGTTTTGTCATTTGAACATGTAAAAAATAACATCATCGAACTAATCATCTTTCATAGATAGTCATATATGTTAATCAACTTTTAATTTAAATCTGTCTCTAATATTATGTCATTGGTAATGGGAGAAGGAATCTTGAAAAGATGGCATTATTTTTAATTACCTGTAAACCTGTATGGACTCGCATTTTATGTATAATAAATTTCATATTTTTAATACTTTAAATTTATTCTTCATTTACATTATTGTATAGACCATAATGTCTTTAATTGAGAAAATACTTTCACTAAAATTGTTGCAACAATTTGGAATCTATTTTTCTAAGTGCACTCTATTCTCAGCTCTTTTTTCTTTTCATATTGAAACATGCAAATGTTTCAGTCCAAATATTTTCATAAATACATTTTTACTTCAATTTACAGTACCTTTCTTTGTTAATAATTTTAACAAGATGCAATTCAACAAATAAATTGCCTTTTATCATTCTTTAAAATATTTCACTAAATTAGGATACTGCAAAACTCTAGGCCTTCTCAAATTGATGTCATTCTAATATACAATATAAACTCATTCGATTAAAAACAAAGCTCCAGGAAAAACTTTTTTTTAATAATTTTTCAGTGAGTCAAGATATTCTAAAATGCCAAAATGGAATTCTAAAATTCAATGTTGTCCAAACTTTGGATTCATGTTTAATTCATTCAGTCTTTCCTTTATTTTTGCAGGGATAATTTTTAATGTCTTATCTTTCTGGGAACTCTACCTTCAAGAAGGCATGTCTTTGGAATGCATAATTTTATTAAAATTTCCCAACTGAGTTTGGTAAGAGAATGCTTAGAAATGAGTTTCCCAAAAAAAGTTATATATGATTCCGGAACACTTAACATTGATTTGCCAAGTATTTATGTAAAAGCTCAACATTTTTAAAAACAATTAAGGATAAGCCTTGTAGAGAGAAACGAGGGCCACCAGGCTAAAATATATATTTAATAATAAGCATTAGTTTTTCTTCAAAGTTCTTTTATTAAACATATTTGTAAATTTTGACAACTATAGCTTTTCTTTTTATTGGTAGATTATTGAAGGCTTTTTGGACCCAGTTATGAATTATGTTTGTACACAGGCTATTGTTACTACATTTCTGCTCCATGGCTTCCATAATTTAATAAGAACATTGCCTTTATCATGACACAAGAATCATTCAAAAATTGTATGTGTATTAAACTGTGAAAAAGAAACAAGTAGTTTCTCTTTAATATTCATTTTGAACTCTTATAACTAAATTTCTTGTAGCGTTGAAATTACCATGAGATGCATTACCTACGTTGGAATGAACTCCCTAAACTTTTAGTTTGATTCCATGAACTAGAAGAAATTCCCATATTGGCCTTAACTGGCTTTCTCTTTAAACCATCTGATAACATCGATATAAAACTGGCATCATTTAACTGTTTGCAAAGATATCTGTTAATAAATCCAAGACATTTGCAACTACTTCAGTTTGACTTTTTTTTTGTATATGGATAACAATACTTGCAATAGAAAATGAGTGAAGTTAATTTAAAAGAACTATTATTTGATAGTCACACTTCAGAGCTGTATTAATTTGTCATCCTTAGGCACAGTTTCCTAAAATAACAAGTGATTTTTTTAAGTAGATGCTGGTGTTTCTTTAGCAGATTTAGGTCTTCTGGCTTTTGTGTGGTCAGTGATTTCACTACAGTTCCCATGGAGGATGCTAAATGTAGAGAAACATTTTGCTCAAGTACATGTTTATCATTGACTTTCTTAGCTACTGGAAATTCTCTAAGCATGCACTTCTGTTTATTTGAGCTACTGCTGCTAAAAAGGTTTATTTAAAAATAAGCATTGCCAAACAACAAACTAAATAAACAGTTGTAGATTTATTCCATACAATAAATAACACAACCACTGTAGTGATAGCATTTATACTATTCTAGGCATTCTACAACTGGAAGCCTGAACTTTTATTACCCTCACATATTCTACAAATTCCTAACCAGTAATGCCCCATGTATTACTCTAACTCCTCTCCCAGTTGCTGTACTGTATCTTCCTGCACCAGGCAGGTTTAGCACAGGTCATAGAACTGGCTGGTACACCAAGTGGTTGCTGGGGGCAACAAGCCCGATGCCTCTACCACAGACACCTGAAGCCACAGAGTTAGCAGTCCTTAGTCGCATTTGAGAAGACTTTGTTATGTCAGCAAACATCTGCCTGCTACCTTACAAAGAGAGATTTAGCTATGATGCATTTGGAAAGAATCATGAAAAGAAAGATGTGCGACTTCTAAGCGCATGTTAAAAATCTTGCTCTTAGGTAAGACTATATTGGAAGCTAAAAGTCAAAGTCGCAGTCTACCAAAAGCATTCCAGATTATTTAAATGTCATGGTTATTAATGACAATTTTATTACAAGTGAAAAACCTAGAACAAGTGCTAAACTAGACAGGATGCGAGGCAGAAGGATAACCAGGGCTATCCTAGGTCATCCAGGTCATGTGGTCTCCCCCTAAAAAAGAGGAAACATTTAGTCAAATATACATGATGATGATGAGAGAGAGTCTTTCTATGGATTTTTTTCTGCAACTGGCAATACTTTTTTTTTACACTCACTAATAGAAAAAAGCCAATCTTCTTTTCTAAACTAAATAGCAATTGCCTGGCTCAGAAATGCTGGAAAAATGAAAATGTATTTTTACTCAACACTGTTTGAAGGCCACAAGCAATCAAAAAAGCAATGAAAAATCCTTAATAGCAAACTCTGTCTCCGAGACAGCAGAGAAAGACACTGGCTTTTTACAAGACACTGTCCCTGATAAGTCCAGGAGTCTTTTATTTAAAGGTCATCCTCCTGACAGTAGAGGAGACCTTGGAAACCAGAACTCTGAATTGTCCAAATATCCAGGGATAATGTCTTCAATATTCCTGAATTAATGCAGCTTCTGCTAGAATACTAACCATGATGGGAGATCCCTACCTTAATGTATTTGCAAATCACTTTAATGATTGGGCTTTTTAAAAATTTCCTGTTGTCATTCATCTGATCAAAACTTCCACTCAATTTTCACCATTTAGAGCCAGCAGATGTAACTTCCCTTCAATATAGCGTACCTCTATATATTTAGCTATACCTCCTCATGTCCTCTCTTACCAAGCTTAAACCTGCACCTATATGTGAAGCCTGAATGTATACCTACTGATCCAACAATAGTTGTTAAAGACTCCTTTTGCCCATAGCTGTAGGTCAGTTGTTCCTAGCCCAGTGCTGTTTTGTCCCCTAAGTGAAATTTAGCAATATTTTGAGATATTATTGTTGTCACAAGTGGGAAGGAAGGCTGGGGGAAAGGAGGGTGTGCCACAGACATCTAGGGGTAGAGACCAGAGATGCTGCAAAACATCCAACAATGTATAAGCCAGCCCCACCCCCACCCCCAGCCCTCACTACAAACACACCAAAGCATTATCTAGTCCAAATGTCAATAGCATCTAGGTTGAGACAATTTGTTATAAGACTGTATAAAACTGCTACCACAGGGACCATAAAACCTGTCATTTTTGTAAACAGAAAGGAGAGACGGAGAGAGGGAGGTAAAGAAACAAAAGAGCTCATTAAGATCAAGTAGAGTGAGATTTTAAATTTCCTTGATCTGGGGACTACAAAGTAGGAGATAGCATAATGACCTCCCTGGAAGGGTTAGAGAAGATAAACATTGACTCCTCCAAGGCTCTTAAGGCAGTCAGGTAAAACTGGAGACTCCCTTTTGGCTGAAAGCTACTTCTCCCTTTTATACCTATGAACCCTAAAATAGTTTCAAATTGGCTTTTTAAAAATCTTCTTATTTGTCAAATATAACTTACAAAGAGAACAGCGTGGAAAATATACATGTTTAGATCATCCAGGCTGAAAAACAGAACACAGCCAACATGTCAGAAGCCCTCTATAATTCCTTCCCACTCTGTGTGCAAACAGCCACTATCTTTACCATTGTAATGCACATTTTTTAAAATTGTAGTTTACTATTTATGTACACAGTTCTAAACAATTATATTTACTAATATTTTTTTTTTTAATTTTACATACATGGAATTACATTTTAAGCATCATTTGGAATGTTTCTTGATTTACTCAAGATTTGATGGCATGATTCATTCAAGTTGACATCTGTAGATGTTGTATTTTCTCCATTTGTTGTATAGAATTTTTTTTTTGGTAATACAATACAGTTTTTTTATCCATGCTCCTATTGGTAGCATTTTGGGTATTTCCAGTTTGTAGCTATTATAAATAGTCTTGGTATGAAACATTCCTGAATATATGCCCTAAAAGACAATTTCATGATATTCTCAAGAGTATTTTTCTTGATGTGAGATTGCTGGTTCAAAGGAGTATGTAACTTCAAACATACTATCAATAGATATTATCCAACATTTCCAAAATGGTGATATAAATTTACATGACCACACCTAGCACTTGATCAAATTTTGTGAATGTTCCATAATGGATACAAATATGCCTAAAAGTAATTTGTGTTTTTCAGTTGTTTGGTATGTATGGTATTTTATTGTTCAATTCTTCTAACTCATTCCTACTCTTTGTTTTCTCAGTTTCTTTAATTTTGGTCAATATTTGTTTCTTTCTTATCAGTTTTTACTTTATATATCTTAAAACTGTTACCAGGTGAATATAAATTTAGGATTGGAGGACTCAAACCTTCATGATTATAAAATGAACCTCTTTATCACCAGTAATGCTTTGTGGCTAAAAGACAATTTTTGTTATATTTATAGCTACACCTTTCTTTTGATTATTATTTGTACTTTTGATTACTATTTGTACGTATTTTCATTTTTATTCTTTCATTATCTTTATGCTTTAGGTACATCTAAATAACACATATATCTTATAAACAGAATATACATGTTCAATCTGATAATCTGTTTTTAACTAGAGCATTTAATCAATTTGCATTTAATTTCATTGTAAATACATTTCATTTTTTCAACCACCCTGTGTTCTCCTTTCAAATTTGTACTTTCAATTTTAATTTTTCTTATTATTTTATCCACTATTCTATTTTTATTAATATTTTCATTAATTTTTAAAATAAATTTTATTGTGTATATTTAAGGTATGCAGCATTTTTTATCCTGCAATTTTTGTGACATAATTTCTGAAGTTAATTTACCTATTTATATTCCTTTAGTGATTATAGCAAATTATATTGAAGTATAAAGTAAAGCAATTTATTCTAACACCCAGAAAGTAACAGGGAATCAGAAGGCTTTGCTTCCATTTCATAGCTCGCTAACTTAGACTGTGTCCACCCAGTCAACTAAATTTACTGCATAGTTTTATCCTTTCTTCTCTGCAATCTTATTTCCAGATAATTTCCCTGATCTTTCTTCCTGGCTGTCTCTTTAGTTACATCTAATCTGCCATTTAATTCATCCATTTAGTTATTTATCAGTTATTGTATTCTTGATTTCTACAAGTTGTATTTTGTAAGTTTTTAATTTGATCTGCCACTTTTTATAGGTTTCTGTTTTTGGAATATGTTCTCAATTCACCTTTTATTTCATAAAAGTAGTAATCATGGCTGTTTTATGATCTGTCTCTGATAATTCCCATATATGAAATTCTTTCTAGTTCTATTTCTTGCTGTCTGTTTTTTTCTGGTTTCTAACTCATTTTACCTCATTTTCTGTAGGTTTGATTATATTTGATATGCTTTATCATTATTGCATGATGTTCCTCACCCTAGAAAAAAAATCTGCAGCAATAATTTTGGGCTTAAGATAAAGATACAACTTTACAAACTGTTTCTTTTTGTTTTAAGGTTCCTAGGAGTCCCTCTGGTCTGCTCAAAAGTTATCATAAATTCATAGTTTGTGAACTTCTAATTGATGTCAATATGGGTTTGAAATGAATACGAAAGCTGATTTTTAAAAATCTCTTCTCCAGGATTATTCATTTGGGATACCCCCTCAACGTTAGGAGGATTTCCTGTTAAACTCTCAAGTTTTGGATGTGTTCTGGAGTTTGACCTCTCACACATTTTAGGCAGTTAGAAAAACAAAGTTAAAATTTGGCTAGATGGATTTTTTTTTCCAGAGTAAAAGCATCTTCTATCCAGAGTAAAAGCATCTTCTATGCTCTACTTACTTTTTTAGGTACCTCTCTCTCTCATCAGTTTTGTAATGATAATTCCTTACAAACTTTTTAGATTTGTTATGCTTTTTAGAAATTTTCAAGCCCATCCTTTTTGTTATTGATCGAGATAAGCTAATCCACCTTTAATCTAAGTAGAATTTCAGTGCCTTAATTGTCTATGTTTGTCATGATAAGAATAGGTTGGGGATCACTGCTGCATATCACTTATTGGCTCTTTCTAACATATTAGTAAACACATTGTAGTGAAAGATCTATCACTGTGAATATAGAAGGAGAGATGATGGGAGAAGAAATAAAATTACAGCGAAAACACTGAGAAACCAATAAATATAAAAATGTAGAAAATGCTAAGTACCATAGGAGGGTCCCAGTGAAATTACTCTGGAGGTCCATTATAGAACAAATTACTTCCACTCAGAGTGATCAGAGAAGATCTCTGGAAAAAGAAACATTTGTAAAATATATAGGATTTGAAATGAAATGTTCTATATTAAAAAGAACATGAGTTTTCAGGAAAGACTGCTCTATATTTGAAGAGCAGATTTTATATTACCACTTATATGAATTTGAATATGTTACTGGAACTCAGTGAATATATATGTAACCTAAAAGTGATTATATATATCTAACAGAGAATTATGGTAAATAAATGAAAAATTATGAGTTAAGTCTCTAATACAATGCCTAGGCCTTTTTATAGATACTTAATATTTTGCAGTTACTGAATGATTCCAGTTTACAAATGTAGGCATATAATTTGATACCCCAGTGAATTATTTTTAGGGGTTTAAATTTAAATACTGAATAAGGAAAACAATTATGAAACTAACGTTATTCAGCACCTACTATGTATCTCATATAATGGTATATATTTTTACATAAATTACCCTTTAAGTAGTCCCATTCAATTGTTTTCCTGTAATATAAGTACACTACTATCTTTAAAGCAGGTCACAACCATATTGCTATTTTTTGTTTTATTCATTCTGAAATTGCTATTAGATGGCTCGTGGGTTACTATTGGAGATGATACAAATGAGATATATTTTATAAGGTGTCTTGAATAGATAATCACAAAGGTGCCTCTTGTTTTGGTTCTTACGAGAAAAGAGTGTGTTTGTTAGATATGTACAAGGAGATGTTCCAGGGTAATTGTGAAGACCACTTATCATCCACTTCACAATTCAGGCTCTACATTTTAACTCAGTAACAACTTTAAGGGAAAACTTTAAGGGAAAACAAGATCTTCTTTCTCAGTACCTGTTTTTGATGAAAAGGGTTCAACAGAAAAGGGCTGAAAATCGGATGACTAATGAGAACACAGAGAAATTCAATCAGGAAAATAAATAAACTTATTTTAAAAGTCAACCACACTTGGAGCCAAAAAGTCCAGGAGGAAAGCAAAATTCCTTTCAGTGAGAGAAGTCCTTCTTTGTTTGGAAAATACCTTATGGAGACTTTTGAGTTATGTAAGGTGAGTGTCCTTTGGTATAGAATTAAGCAAATACAATTTGGCAAATAAAAGTGCAGAATGCTACCCACAGAATGGGAGAAACTTTTGCAAGTCATAGGTCTGAGAGGTAACTTGTACATAGTATATATAAATAACCATTGCAGTTCAATAATGAAAAAAGGCAAATAACCCAATTAAAAAAAGAGTGAGGGATATGAATCGATATTCACCCAAAGAAGATATAAAATTGGCCGGTAAGGACATTAAAATATGCTTACCATCATTACCTATCAGAGAAATACAAATCAAAACCATAATCAAAAAAGAAACAATGACAATTATTAGAAAAGATGTAGAGAAATTGGAACCCTCAAGTACTGCTGGTGGGAAAGTAAATGGTGCAGCCACTTTGGAAAACAACTTGGCAGTTCCTCAAACTACTAAACCTAAAGTTACCATATAGTACAGTAATTCTACTCCTAGATATATACCCAAGAGAAATAAAAGCATATGTTTGCACAAACTCTTGTATACAAATGCTCATAGCAGCATTATTCATAATAGCCAAAATGTGAAATAACTCAAATGTCCATCAAGTGATGAAATGATAAATAATATATAGTAGATCCATACAATGCAATATTGCTCCATAATAAAGTACTGATACATGCTATAACAGAAATTAACCTTGAAACTTCATGCTAAGAGAAAGAAGCAAGTCACAAAGGTGTACACAGTTCATGATTCTATTTATATGACATGTCCAAAATATGCACATTTATAGAGAAAGTACATTTGTGTTTTATTATGTCTGGGGATGACAGGGGATGGGGCATTGAGAGGTAATAGCAAAGGCCTACAGGGGTCTTTCTGAGTAGCAAAAATGTCTACTGTAGCCATGGAGATATGAATTTGTTTTTACTAAAAACTATTAAATTGTACATTTCAAATTGCTAAATTGTACGACAGGAATTATATCTCAATAAAGCTATTAGAAATAAAGGAAACCATGTTAAATTGAATTTCAGATAAACAATGACTTTTTTTTTTTTTTAGTAAACAGGCATACCTCTTTTCATTGCACTTCACTTTGCAGATATTGCATTTTTTACAAATTGACGGTTTGTGGCAACCAAGTATTGAGCACGTGTACTGTGGCCATTTTGCAAACAACATATGCACACTTCCTTTTTCCATGTCACCTTTTGGTGTTTCTCGAAATATTTCGAACTTTTAAAATTAAAATTATACCTGTTATGGTGATCTGTGATCAGCGATTTTTGATGTTATTATTGTGGTTGTTTTGGGGTACCACAAACCACGTACTTAGAAGGTGGAAAACAATACATATTGTGGTGCAAGTTGATTCTAACGCTTATCAATGATAGTCAGGGCCTCAAGACTTCAGTGGAGGCCAGGCGCAGTGGCTCATGCCTGTAATCCCAGCACTTTCAGAGGCTGGGGCAGGCGGATCACCTGAGGTCAGGAGCCCAAGACCAGCCTGGCCAACATGGTGAAATCCCCTTCTCTACTAAAAATACAAAAATCAGCTGGGTGTGGTGGCGGGCACCTGTAATCCCAGCTACTTGGGAGGCTGAGGCAGGAGAATCACTTGAACCCGGTGGGTGGAGGTTGCAGTGAGCAGAGATTGCACCACCGCACTCCAGCCTGGGCTAAAGAGAGAGACTCTGTCTCAAAAAAAAAAAAAAAAAAAAAAGACTTCAGCGGAAAAGTAACTGCAGATATGGTGGAAACTGCAACAAAACTAGAGTTAGGGGTAGAGCCTGAAGATGAGACTGAATGTCTGCAATCCCATTGATAAAACTTGAACAGATGAGGAGTTGCATTTTATGGATGAACAAAGAAAGTGGTTTCTTCATCTGGTGAAGACTCTGTGACCATTGTTGAAGTGACAACAAAGAATTTAGGATATTCCATAAACTTAGTTGATAAAGCAGCTGCTGGGTTTGAGAGGATTGACCCCAATTTTTAAAGAAGTTCTATTGTGGGTAAAAATGGTACGAAAGGGCGTCACATGCTACAGAGAAATCTTTCACGAAAGGAGGAGTCAGTCAATGTAGCGACCTTCATTGTTGTCTTAAAAATTTTCCACAGTCTGGCCGGGCACGGTGGCCATGCCTGTAATCCCAGCACTTTGGGAGGCCAAGGCGGGCGGATCACGAGGTCAGGAGATTGAGACCATCCTGGCTAACACGGTGAAACCCCTTCTCTACTAAAAATACAAAAAAATAGCAGGGCGTGGTGGCGGGCGCGTGTGGTCCCAGCTACTCGGGAGACTGAGGCAGGAGAATGGCGTGAACCCGGGAGACAGGGCTTGCAGTGAGCCGAGATCACACCACTGCACTGCAGCCTGGGCGACAGTGCGAGACTGTCTCAAAATAAAAAAAAGTCCGTAATCACCCCAACTTTCAGCAACCACCACCCTGATGAATCACCAGCCATCAACATCGAGGCAAGACCTTCCACCAGCAAAGAGATTAGGACTCCCTGAAAGCTCAGATGATTGTTAGTATTTTTAGTAAATAAAATGTTTTAATTAAGGTATTTTTTGTACACATAACGTTATTGCACATTTAATAAACGACAGTATAGTATAAATATAACTTTTATATGTGCTGATAAATCAAAAGAGTGTGACTTTCTTTAATTGCAGTATTTGATTTATTATGGTGGTCTGGAACTGAACTTGCAATACTTTTGAGGTGTACCTGTATTGAGTATATCCCATGCTGCAGCCTTATGCTTAAAAATTATTTTTTATCTGAAATTAAATTTTAACAGGGAGTCTTGTATTTTAACTGGCAATCCTGTAGAAAATAGATAAGAGGGGTTTAGACAGAGAATTAGAATGCCCTCATAAGCAAGACAAACAATTTCGGAGTTTATACCCGAACACCAGTGGATTTTCAGAATCCAGAAAGGACAGGGAAAGAATTAATTAGGGGAAAAAGAGGCTACTGATATTTCATTGTAACCCAAAGTACTTTAAATTTTCCCCTAGAGTGGGAATGACCAATATATTTTGAGAAGAATAATGTTCGACAGTCAGTTGTTCTCTTCCTGCATTGTCTTCATCTTCCTTTACCCAGTAAAACTATGGGACAATGTGCTACAGAATTTGATTTTGGAGACTGGCCAATCCAATAGGCCTGAGGCTGAGCTCAGAACCACAGTCCAGGGGCAAGTTATACAGACAGACAAGCTGAGATGAGAGAAGCTGGTTGAGATGAGAGAAAAGAGCTTTAAAAATGTCATCTTTTTACCCTCCTACGAAAATACCAGGTAAAAATGATTACTGAGGGTTTTGTGTGTATGTGTGTGAGTAGAGCAGCTAGAACCTTCTATTTCCAGGGATAGTGACTCCCATCATCTTACTGGGTAAAAAGTGAAGCCCCAGGAGACTAGAAGATTTGGATCCATTTAAATTTCAATGTGGAAAAATCCTTTTTAACAACCATATCCATGTATTAATTTTGACTAAAGCTGCCCTTAATGGATGTGGACAGAAAATCATCTTATTCCATACACTGAAATAACATTTACAGGGCTCATACTAGATGGAAGCCCTAGGACAGCTTCTGGGAAATTTGTAAGTGAATTAGACAATCCATCTTCTCAAGAATCTAACACACTAGTCCAGGAGAAAGAAGCTAACACTTACCCCCATAGCACAGGAAAAATGATCTACCATAGCACACATCCCATCATATTCATTTAAACTACTACTATTTTAGTTCAGGCAAAGCCCTAAACATTTTTCTTCCAAAATTTCTGTTGCCTCCCTACAAGTCTCATTTATAGTCACTTTCAAAAACAAAGCTTTAATCATGGTTTCACTGCCCTTAAACTTCTTCATTGACTACATGTTTTCAACTGTATAAACTTCAAAGACTTCACCAAGCCACTAATTCTTCCCCAGTTTGGTTGCGTCTTACCTGTCCAGCTTCAACTCATCTTTCTCCCCCATGGACCTGACACTCCAGCATGCCCAAGAATTTTTGCCATGTTAAAATAATAACAAAATTATTTAAAACCACATATTTCTTCTGAGCAGGAGGATTGTGTTAAGCAAGGTCCTTTTGTTCTTCAAAGCATACTGATATGCTTGAATACACAAAACAGAGCCCAGAAGAGAGATGGGACCAGGCTGGGTACTGAGGACATAAACTGAAGAAGCTGCTGGTGGAGTGTTCCTATGAAGGAAAGGGAAAGGGAATTTAAAGAAAGTCATGGTTTAAATAAATGTGATGGTGTTTGTGTTGTCATCACATAAGGCTCTGCCCTTACCTCCACCCCATAACGCCTACATTGCTAAATTTTCAGAACAATCTGCTATATTCAAATGACTTTTAAGGTTGGTTGGGAGGTGTGGAAATTGAGCAGGTGATGAAATTTCACATCTGGGTCAAGGCAATGAAGAACAGAGAAACCTTTCACAGAATGGCAAGGTAACTCAAATTTAGAGGATAAAGTAGAACCAAAAGTGACCATGAGACTATAGATTCTCCTAAGAACTCTCTGAACACTTGGAAGTACTCCGGACAATCAAGGAGCATGGGATGAGGATCCATTTGATCAGATCTCCAGGGACAAAGGAACCTGCCATGTAAACTCCACCTGTTACACCATACACAGTTTTTCAGTGCCTCAAGTTTAGACAAAATTGTTTAGTAGGATTCCTATGAAAGTCTTTGAGATCACATTGTAGCTGCACAGGCCAGGGGTGAACATCTGGGGAAATGCAATAGGATTACATTGATTCATAGGGGAACACACATAATATCATTTCCCCTTGACCTCTACTGAGCTGGCTTCATTATCAAATCTCTTGGTGTTATGAGAGGCATTAATTTCTGAACTGTTCAGGCTGGTAGGTAGATTTTTAGTATCAGGTGTCATCTATTATACCTCACAATGGGATTTTTTGAACGTGAGCATGCTGATAAAATCAAGGATCAATCCAACAAATGAGAAATTGCCCATTCAGACCACCCTTCCTTCCACCTCTCTCTGTGGACCTTAATGGCCCTGTCACCAGCTGCCCTTGAAGATAAAACCTCCAGCCAGTGTTAATATGAGTTATGTTAACTGCTTCACATATCATAATAAAAATACAAGCCTAGCCAGAGAAAATTACTTCCATGTGTAAGGCCAAATAAAATATTTTTAAAGAAAATGTAACTTTTAATGTTTATCATTCTAAACATTTACAAATGACTAATATGTGTGTAGGGGGGAGCAGACACTTTTTTCTAATGTATCTACTATTCTGCCATGTTGTGATCTGCTTATCATTAATTGTTAGATTGAAAGCTCCACGGTAGCATGGATTTCGCCTCCTTTGGTAACTTACATAGCCTCAGCACCAGCCTCTGACACATGGTAGATGAATGTATTTTAACAAATGATTCATTAGGCAAAGGATGTTGCCATCTATAATTATTCTGTTGGTCCATTTCCTTTCTCACATGTAAACAACTTTGACTTCAAAGTACATAGCTGTATAGTCAAAATAGGTTCTTAAAACACAATTGGATAATTTTTATTGTTTCCTATGTGCTAGGTACACTTTTAGGTACTTTATCTCCTCTTGTCTACTCCACTGATTTTACAGGCTAGTAAAGTTTAAGAAACATGTCCTATGTCAACAGTAAATGTAAGAGTTGAAAAATGAATCTAAAGCCTTTCTTATCCCAGAGCTACCCTCCACTTTGGACCACTGGCCAATGTGTTTCCCCAAATACGCGTAGATCTATCCCATAGGACAGAGTCCCTGATGCATGAGACAAAAGTTGTCAGGATGTAAGTCCCTGTTTAATGTTATTTTTTCTTTTCCTTACCCAGTATGGACCTTATATAAACTTTTGCATTAAAAATATTGATTATGAGCTAAATTTGTACATTTGGTGAACAAGGAAGCTAACAATGTGAGTCCTAGCATAATTACCTCAAATTTGGCTTGCTACCTCTACATCTCAGTGTAGGATTGTATTTATTCTTACCAACCCTCCACCTAATTCTACAGACAGAAACATACAGACACACACACACACACACACACACATGCACACACACACACACACACACACAAACACACACGGGGGGGCGGGGTGAGAGAGAGAGAGAGACAAGGAGTGAAGATTAGTGATTGAAAACACATAATGAAATCCTGCTTAAGAAGATTTCTTCCTAACATTTTGAAGACACACAAGATTATATATTCCTAGACTAAACCCATCAGTGACTACAGCCGCAATTTTAGTTTAGGATCACTGGATATTTAAGTAAGGCAACATCCTTTGGACAGTGTTCAAACTGAATACTTACATTCAGTAAATCAAACGAATAATTGTAATTACTTTTCTTAAATGACAGAGAAAACTGCCATGCTTATTTAACATACATACTTTTTTCCCCTTATTTTTCCATTTCACTACCAGCAATGACTCCAGTGAAAAAATGCAAATACAAAGAAAGACAGAGTGTGTATAGAACTGTTAGAATCTCATTAGGCCAGATGGTATCTATAAAAGAAAGAAATTTCCACGGAGACCTAGAAGAATAACTGGACAAAATCACTCCCATATTCTGTTGAAAAAAAAATCTGTCAGATAGAAAGAGTGTGGTGAACCTGGGATGAAAACAAAGTATTTTCACTGAAATTCATGAAATTTATTTGCATAGGAAGCATCTTATGTATTCCCATTTTTTTAAAAAAATTAAAAACTTGTTAAATGCAAAATGACTACGAAAGAGCATTGTTTCATATATGCTTTACTGGTGATTGGTATTTTCAATTGCATTTTTCCCTGCCAATAAAACTGGGTTCAGTAATGAATACCTTCTTATTTTTGGCATTCAGTGGGTTGAGTTTGACATCATATATTTTTCCTTTCCAGTAACACTGGCCTCTTGGTCACCCTTGTAAAAGCATTTGAAAATAACTCTTACTTCCTGATTTCTTGAAAAATCCTAAAAATACATAATGAATCTGGAAAGAAGCTTTGTCATTTCTAAGCCAAACAAGTAAAGAATTATCCTGGTACAAATGTAATTAAATTTGGTTGATAAAGGTGAAATTGTTTATTAAAAAATCTTTCATCAAAGACCATGAATAATACAAGAGGCATTATTATGGGTTACTTTGACATCCTCATTTTTTGCAACCTGCATTGAGGATTTACATTTTCCTTCATTAAAATCTACCCAAAAGGTCATTATGCATTATTTGTGTGTGTGTGGATGATAGATACATTTTTGAAATGGCTCCCAGTTCAGTTCCTTATACTTAGTATATTGGTTGATTGGACTCCCCTTATTACTCCACCAACCATCAAAGTCTGGTCATGAGGCTGATCTTGGGAGAAAGTAAAGATACAAAACCTGGAGGTCTGCTGCAGTAAGTCCTAGATAGATGGAAAGGGAAGTAAAGCAAAATTGAAAGTGGTCTGCTCTGGATTTTGTAAAGAAAAGAAGCAACCTGGGAGAGTGAGAATGTCATAGACAAACCTCATTGCCTCCTCTCTTCCCCTTACTTTACTTCCACTAACTCAGGTGCATGCACATACACACACATACACACACACACACACACAATGTTCCAACCATTCAAAATAGACACCAATCTATGCTGCTACAAAAGAGTCTTAGAGGCTTCCCATTGTGATTGGCCATACAAGTTCTGAGACAATTGCTTATTGACCAACCTGCATGGGAATGCTTCAATATTTTAACAACTATTGGGGTTATCCTGGTACAAACTGTCTTGGATGTTTGGGCCCTGAAAGCACGCATGATCAGCCCTGTTCCTGTGTCCTTTCAGGGCCTAACATCCCAGAATAAGAGAGGATTAAAAAACATACACAAAAGTTGGGGAACCCCATCTCATTCTGCAGAAGGTGCACAGTTGGCCCTGAATGGGGATACTATAAACTTCCAGAAGAAGCCCTGTGTGGAGCCACTTTCAAAATGGTATGGTGGTAGTGACCTGGAAGTGGTGGCTACTAAATTGGCTTAAAAATTGTTTAATGGGTTTGTTATTGATGTTGTATGCAGGTCAACAATTTGGAAGAAGGAGAAGCAAGAGAAGGAACAGACAACTTTTATACAAAATAAAGGTCTAATGTGTCACTGCATATCCAATAAGTGATGTGAGAAGATCTGAAAGCTTCTTACACTTGGAAAATTTCCCTAATTCCCATCCTTGTTCCCATTTGTATAGTAACTAAAGGAAAACTGGTGAAACAATAGAGTCATCAATGACACATAGCAGCTCTTCTTCCCAAGGCACTGTGCCAAACACACACATTTCTTACTGTTAGGTTGATCTGTATGGAGAATCTGTCTGTATAGTGAGGTAATCTCCTAACAGATGAAGATAGAGCATACATTAAAACAAAAACAGTAAATTACTCATTGGCTCAAGAATGATAATTTAAATAAGGTTCCTTGGGTGTTTATTTTGTGCGTGTTGTTGTTGCCATTTGGTTGTTATATTGTTTGCTTTTGTTTTGTTCTGTTACATTGTTTGTTTTTTTCTTTTGAAATTAGACACAACTGGAAACTTACATCATATAGTTTTCAAGTAAATATAAATAAAATCACATTGAGATACCACTAAATCTCCAACAGACTAGCAAAAATCAGGGAGTCTGACAATCCCATGTGCTGCCTCATATTAGCATATGTGGAGCAGCAGAGGCCCTCACACCCTGGCAGCTAGAGTGGAAGCTTGTATTATTATCTTTGGAAAACAACTTGGCATTACCTTAGGAAGACATAGATGAACATTCTGTGATCCAGTGGTTATATTCTAGTGGTCTCATTTAACACGGCAAAAAGAAAAACAATAACAAAACTGGAAACAACACAAGTATCCACTAGAATATATCAACAATTTGTGCCATATCCTTGTGAAAATGGCCATACTACCCAAAGTAATTTATAGATATAATGCTATTCCCATTAAACTACCATTGAAGTTCTTCACATAATTAGAAAAAACTACTTTAAAATTCATATGGAAACGAAAAAGAGCCCTTATAGCCAAGGTATGCCTCAGCAAAAAGAATAAAACTGGAGGTATCAAACTACCCAACTTCAAGCTATACAAGGCTACTGTAAAAACAAAAACAAAAACAAACAAACAACAAACAAAAAAAACCAGCATAGTACTGGTACAGAAACAGACAGATAGACCAATGGAACAGAATATAAATCTCAGACACAAGACCGCACATCTACAACGATTTGATCTTTGACAAACCTGATGAAAACAAGCAATAGGGAAAATAGTCCCTATTTATAATTGGTGCTAGGAGAACTGGCTAGCCACATGCAGAAAATTGAAACTGGACATCTTCCTCACACCTCATACAAAAATTAACTGAAGATGGATTAAAGGCTTACATTTAAAACTCAAAACTACAAAAACCCTAGAAGAAAATCTAGGCAATACCATTCAAGACATAGATGGGCAAAGACTTCATGACAGAAATGTCAAAAGCAATTGCAACAAGGGCAAAAATTTACAAATGGAGCCTGTTAAACTAAAGAGATTCTGCACAGCAAAAGAAATTATTATCAGAGTGAAGAGACAACCTACAGAATGGGAAAAATAATTTTGCCATCTGTCCATTTAACAAAGGTCTAATATCCAGAATCTACAAGGAACTTAAACAAATTACAGGAAAAAACAAACAACCTCATTTAAAAAGTGGGCAAAGGACATGAACAGACACTTCTCAAAAGAAGACAGACATGCGGCCAACAAACATATGAAAAAAAGGTCAACATTATTGATGATTAGGGAAATTCAAATCAAAACCACAATGAGATGCCATCTCATCTCATGCCAGTCAGAATGATGATTATTAAAAAGTCAAGAAACCACAGATGCTGGCAAGGCTGTGGAGAAATAGGAAAACTATTTTTATTTTATTTTACTTTTTTGTTTTGAGACAGAGTCTCATTCTATTGCCCAGGCTGGAGTGCAGTGGCTCAATTTCGGCCCACTGCAACCTCCACCTTCTGGGTTCAAGTGATTCTCCTGCTTCAGTCTCCCAATTAGCTGGGACTACAGGTGTGTGCCACCACACCCAGCTAATTTTTGTGTTTTTATAGAAACAGGGTTTCGCCATGTTGGCCAGGAAAATAAAATGCTTTTTACGCTCTTGATGGGAATGTAAGTCAGTTCAACCATTGGAAAGACAGTGTGGAGACTCCTTAAAGAGCAGAAATAACATTTGACCCAGGAATCCTATTATTGTATAAACCCATAGGAATATAAATTATTCTGTTATACAGATACATGCACGCATATATTCAGTGCAGCATTATTCACAATAGCAAAGACATGGAGTCAACCTAAATGCCCATCAATGATAGATTGGATAAAGAAAATGTGGTACATGTACACCTTGAAATACTATGCAGCCATAAAAAGGAATGAAGTCATGTCCTTTGCAGGGATGTGGTTGGAGCTGGAAGCCATTATCCTCAGCAAACTAATGCAGAAACAGAAAATCAAATACTGCATGTTCTCACTTACAAGTGAGAGCTGAACAATGAGAACATATGGACATAGGGAGGGGAACAACACACACTGGGGCATGTCGAGGGTTGTGGGAGGAGGGAGAGCATCAGGATAGATAGCTAATGCATGCTGGGCTTAACATCTAGGTGACCGGTTGATAGGTGCAGCAAACCACCATGGCACACATTTACCTATGTAACAAACCTGCACGTCCTGCACATGTATCCCAGAAATTAAAATAAAAAGGAAAAAATATGTGGCATACCCATGCAGTGGAATATTATAAAATAGTGATAATGAAGAAATACAATTATTGGTATCTTTGTGAATGAATTTTAAAAAAATGATATTGAACTAAAAGGACAAGTTTACAAAGGAATATACTACAGTTTCATTTATATAGGAGTCAAAAAAACACAAAACTATAAAATTAAATGTTTCTTATACTTACATATATGATAAAGCTAAAAAGAGAAGCAAGGAAAAAAATCTACCGAAAATTCACTCTGGCGGAGATCAGAATAGCATGCAATGAAGGAGTGACATAAAAGTGCTGAAACTTACTGAGAGCGTACTTTAAGTAGGCCTTGGGCAGGTTGGGGTTTTGTTATTAACCTTTAAAATATACATGTATGGCAGGGCGCGGTGGCCCATACCTGTAATTCCAGCACTTTGGGAGGCCAAGGCCAGGAGTTCAAGACCAGTTTGGCCAACATGGTGAGACCCCATCTCTACTAAAAATACAAAAATTAGCCAAGCGTGGTGGCATATGCCTATAATCTCAGCTACTTGGGAGGCTGAGGTAGGAGAATCACTTGAACCCAGGAGGCAGAGGTTGCAATGAGCCAAGATCACACCACTGCACTCCAGCCTGGGCAACAGAGTGAAACTCCATCTCAAAAAATAAAAAAAAATAAAAGATAAATAAAAATAAATTATACGTGTATGGAATGTGTATATGTATATTCATTATATATATAGTCTATATATGTATATTTTATATATTTACACATATTTGAAAGTTTCATAGATTTTATAATAAGCTCAAAATGTAGAAAAGTAAGAACAATAAACTTCAGCTTTGCATGCACATATCAGCAACTACCTTATTATATTGTTTTATTTATCAGAAAATATACCAGAAAATTATCTTCGATATTCATTGGAGAATATAGGCACACTCTCTAAGAGGTGTGCTTTTTCTGGTCTTAAAAATGAAACAATAAATAACAAAAAGAACAATACAGTTTCTGAAATCATTTCCATCTGCAATTTGAATATGCCTGTTATAAGCCCAAACAATAGCTTACAATGAAAAGTTGAAGGAAATCTTTTTTTTTTTTCTCTAAACTGGGAGATAAAGTAGACACGAGAGAAGCTGAGGTGTCTGATAGTTTCCTGACATGATCTATTCATCACACTCTTCCCCTTTCCCTTGTTCACTACAGGGCAGAACAAGGACATCCAAGGCTACGTGAAGGATTTGTTCTGTCCTTTCTTCCAGTGACTCTGGTGTTTATTCACAAAATCCCCTGGCTCCTTCCTGCTTCTTATTGACTATATTATTTCCTGCTCTTTTGATGAGAAATAAAATGGCCAGCTTCTGTGCTATCTGGTGCCACTCTTCCCCACCACATCTCTGTGGGACTTGTTCACCAGCTCTGAATCCTCCTCAAATTCACCCTCATTTCCCGAAGGTGCCCAGCGGGGATGAGTAACAAGGAGTGACAACTCACCCAGGTGGCTTTTGATATTGTTTGTGTGAGGAGCAACACTTTTCAAAGTGCATCATACAGAGAATACGTAGGCAAGGGTAAGAAAATAGGTCATTGATTTTAAGTGATAAGCTGGGATAAACTTGAACCACTGCAGAGAATCGTGCACAAATTGGGGACACAGCACATCAGTTTTCTTTTTTTTCCTTCCTCTCTGTGATTTGTTGTTGTTGTGCTTGTTTGTTTGTTTATTTTTTCTTTCTTTCCAACACAATGTAGAACAGATTTAACTTTTATATGCTTCCAAATGATCTGAATGTCAGAAAATGCTTTCCCTTGTGTCCACAGTTATAGGCCAGTCTTCTCCTGTTCATAAGAGAACCAAACATCCAGCCTTACCTTTTGGCAGCAGATTTGTGGTTTTGCAACAGGCTAACATGCAGAAATGTTGAAATGAAAAAGTCTTTGGAATAAGTGAGGGTCAGGAGACTTGCTCCTACTTATATCCATTCACTCATGTAATAAATATTTCTTTTCTATGTGTCCTGGGCCTCTTGGAAGTGCCAGGCATTCAAGATTGAACAATCCTGTTTAGGTCCCTGTCCTGTCTTTACCCTTTATTTATTTTCTGTTCTTTTCCACCCTGCTCTGTACCCAAGGAGCCGATCTCAATGGGATGCATTGCCTGGATTTCCTTGCCCTCTGGCAGCTTCTGGTGGCAAATGGTGAAAGGGAAGTAGCAGAAAGAAAAAAGAAAGGATCAAGGATACGGAGATAAAAGGGAAGAGAACTCAATATCCTTAGCCTACTTCATCTTATATCTCTCTTTCATGACTCCTATTCTCAACTGGACCTTGGGTATAACCATTCTGCCCCTTGTTCCTTCCGTTCTAATGGAGTAGCATTTCTTGATGGTTCTTTTAACTCTATCCATACTTGGGTAAATAATCCCTATGGGAAAGTCTCTCCAAAAGTACCATCTGGGAATATCATCTGTTGCCTGGCAAGACCTGGACTGAAACCATCAAAATAAGAAAGAGTGTGCATAGACTTTCTGCTGAATGTCTGCACAGGGATGGTCCATGTTTCACCAGCAGAGCCCTTCTTCCATGGAAGGGGCCTGCGCTTATGACCTGTCAGCATCACACTTGTGGGAATTTGAAATTTATCTAACAAATACCCATTGAGACCTAACTAGATGCACGATGGAAACAATGATAAGATTAGTATCTGCCTCTGGAAGCTCAGTCTCTGGGGATAGTGTGTGAAATAGATATCATTGGAATGTGGTATGTTGAGGGCTAGCAGAGAGGGATGTACAGAGACCAAGGGAAGCAAATGATTAATCTTCTAGAGGTATGGAGGAGTTTGGTATAAATAAATATTTCACTGAAAATGGTATATTTGAGCTGAGACTTGAAGGATGAGTTAGAATCCACTAGATCACAAAGGGGATACTTGGTCAGGGGTAGTTGGTAAGCAGCACAGGGAGGGAAGTGCAGGGAGAAGTAACCTTGTCTGCGAGAAAACAGGAGTAGAAAGGCCCCGGAAAAATGGGGCCCATTTTCTTCTGTTGGAGGAAAAGCAAATGCACAGTACAGAATGGTAGGGACAGAGGTTGTGGAGAGTGTCAGCATATGAGCTAAGAAAGGTGACAGGAGGTTGACCATAATGGATCCTATAGGTCAGGTTGAACACTTTTATTCTGTTGGCTTTGAAAATACCAGTCGTAATTATGCAGTCAGGAATTCAATAATCCTATGTGTATTTTATCACATGTAAATCAGTGACAAAAATGGAAGAACCAGTTAGTGGGGGAACACAGTGGTGTCCTGGAGTCTTGCCACTCCCCTAGTTCCCCTTCTGAGCCATGAGTCTTACTTAATTTCAAAAATGATATTTAGCTGTTATACATCATAAGTGCTTACTGATTGTTTAGGGCCAGGCTTTATGGTGATTTGTTGAGGCATGCATTCTGACTGGCTTGTGCCCATGTCTTATCCTTGTAATATGGTGCTTTTTCTAACATGAAATTATAGCAAGCTGTGGTTACTGAAGAGGTTCTCTTGTAATGTAACTCACATCAGAAAATGTAGACCTAGATACTTTTTGCATAATAATTTTCTCAAAATATGCTCTAAGTCAACACTTTTCACACCTGGGTAACAAAACAATCTGTATAACAAACCCCTACAACATGAGTCTACCTACATAACAAACCTGAACATGTACCCCTGAACTTAAAATAAAATAAGAAAAGTCTGTTTCTGTTGTCATTGATTGCAGAGTAGAAGTATGGCAAGGAGAAGAAAACTAGTTAGACGGTGAAAACCAAGACAGAAGACAGAGGAGGGAGGGGAGTTTGGGGGATATGGAGAATGAGTTTGGGTTTAGGAATGTTCACCTGGAGCTATTTATGGAAAACTCTGTGATAGTAATTAGTAAACATGTGGGTCTATAGATTAAGAGATAAAGTTATGTCTTTGAATGTCATGAGAAACAAGGTAGGGAGTTAAGTTGTAAGTGTATAAGATCACTAGGAAAACTCTGTCACTCCCAAAGATGAAGAAAAATGGAACCCCTGATAAACTCTACATTTGAAGTGTGGACGAAAGTGAAATTCACAGGCAGGGAGACTGACAAGGAATGGTCATGAGAGAAGGACCCAGGAATGGGTCATCATTAGGGTGACTATTATACTGATTTGCCTGGAAGAGTTCCAGTTTATGCTTATCGTTCCAGCATCCCACTTGGTTCAACAGTTGATCTAGAAAAACAAAAACCAGTCTGAACGATAAAGTCTATGCTTTGAATTCAAGTCAGCAGAAAATTTAAGGAAGAAGTGGCAAACAACACTAAATGCAGATCTGTGCACAACTTCAAGTCCACCAACCTTTGTGGAGTCTAAAAAGTAGTCTTTTCCATGAACCTCAAACATACTTTTGAGGATTTGCTTTCAATGGTTTGTAGTTATTATTTTGGATATTGATTGTCTCTGGATTTTTGGTGTTTTCATTGCTGTTGCCTATTTTCAGAATTTTAATTTTACTACAGTTGTTTTTAGGATGGTGATGTTTTAACTTCCACCATTGTATTTCTTTTTCACCTTCAGTCTTAACTTGAGGTCCCTGAGCATTTTGGTGTCAACAGGCTAAAATACATTTATCTGGGGAGAATAACACATTTGTCATGTCTGATATACTCTAACTCCCCATAAACAATGGCCAATCTGAGTTTCTGTTCTAAACGCATGTATGAAAACAATGCATTCCATGCCAGATTTGCAGTTTGTTACATGTTAACATTTTAATCGTCTCTATTGGAATGAATAGTATATTCCCACAAATCTTAGAGAAATATTGATTTCTTGTGGGAAAGCAGTCAGACTACTAAATGCACATACAACCCACAGGAACTCAATTTAAACTTTGGAACATTTAATGACAAAGCCTTATGTTTAATTGGTGCAAAATAACCTTCTTGAGAAAATATTTTATTAGAGAAATGCTATTGGATAGGCAAGGTACCATGATTTGACAATGTTTTCCATAGTAAAATCCTTTGTCACAGTGTGAGTTGCCCTTATCTGATCTTCCACTGTATTTTATTTTTTCTGTCTGCAGTCAGCAGAGAAACAGACAAATAATAAATAAATTGATTAATTCAAACAGTCACTACTTCTCTATGTATATGTTCCCCTTCCTTAGGGGCTATTTTCTGCACAGAGGAGAAACAGGCATGTTTCTAGAATACACAAGTAGCTTTCAGAAACCTAGTCCCAAATACTGCACCTGAGGTCACTACCTTCTCCAGCCTGTCCCAGTAGCCACCCAGAGGCTCAAAACTGCCAGGTCAGACACTGAGATAGGATGGTCAGTGGCCTCCCACCCTTGGGTCTGCTGTGTTTAGCAGAGTCAGATGTGGCATCCACAGACACACTCCAGCTACAGGCTTTGTGTCTTCATTGCAGGGCTATTCTAGTGGACTGGATATAGGTTTTTCACACCTGTTCCCTTCAGGCTTGGAGGCAAAGCCTGCACCAAGGCTTGTATTACTCTTTTCCTTCTCAGAATGAAGTTTTTATTTTTTTATTTCCAAAACCTCCCAGGCAGGGCCTAACATGCCCATAAGCTTCCTCTTCTCACCTCACTTCTCTCTCTTTATTGTACTGCTAGAAATCAACCCATGCCCACATTGTACCAACTCCCTCAGGCATGGAGCTTTACACTGCGAACCCATCATGGGAGAGACAACATCCCTACTACTAAATTAGCTGCATAAGTTTAGGAAGCATGGTCCCAACTCAATTCCTGTTCCTCCCTCAGCTGTCAGGGCCCAGCATGGCTTGAAATCATTATACAAGGTTTTATGACAGCACATTGCTCTTTCATTCTCCTTTGTCCTTAATAGGCCTGGGACAGCATTGTTCTGAACACAATTTTCACCTCACGATTACATTTTGACATGAACAGCAGTCCTTACAGCATATCTTACCTGTACTGCTGTGTAACTTCACTGATAATCACACAAAGGCAGTGAAATTGGTCAGGAGACAGAACCACCTGAGATGCTGTGTGAAAACCCTGAGACGTGATCACAGCTACAATCAGGAAAATTACTTCCTTAGGAATAGACATCATTCAGTCAGGTAAACCATTCCATAGCATGTGAGCTTTACCTAAGAATTAATTTATGTGAGTAACTAGTTCATTCTGGATACATTTCCTGGTTTATAGTGTAATGCATAAAAAATTGTTAGACTGCTTTCTCAAATCTGTTCCTCAAACATGTAAATTCCATGAAACTGGAAGCCTGCTCCACAGCTGATTTATTTAGAAGATGCAGAATTGATTCTACATATCACAATTGAAAACAGAAAGACAGGAGACAGAAAGAGGAAAGGTAGGTAGGCAGGAAAAGAGGGAGTAAGAGAGGAAAAGGAGGAAGGGAGAGAGGGAAGGAAGAAGAAATTCCAAGCAGATAGAGGAAAGCCCCAAGCAGTGGCATTTGTGTTTCTTTGAAAACTAAGGGGCCACTTCTCTACAAAAAGTTTCTGTGACTGCAGGCAACAAAACTTGATGTGTCAGATTTAAGCAAAAGAGTAACTTGTTGGAAGAAATTACTTATAAGGAATCAAAGGAAAAGTTGGAGTACCTTGTCTGAAGAGGCATCAAGGCAGCACTGGGACAGCTTGCAACATTCCTCGCAAAGTCTCTTGTTTTGTTGTTGTTCTTTGTTTGAGACAGAGTCTCGCTCTATGGCTTAGGCTGGAGTGCAGTGGCGCAATCTCGACTCACTGCAACCTCTGCCTCCCACGTTCAAGTGATTCTCTTGCCTCAGTCTCCCGAGTAGCTGGGGTTACAGGCACGTGCCACCATGCCTCGCTAGTTTTTTTGCATTTTTAGTAGAGAAGGGGTTTTTCCGTGTTAGCCAGGATGGTCTCAGTCTCCTGACATTGTGGTCCGCCTGCCTCGGCCTCCCAAAGTGCTGGGATTACAGGCGTGAGCCACGCGCCTGGCCCTTGCACAGTCTCTTAATGGCACTTGTCTCAAGATAAATAAATTTTAACCATTAAAAATCCTTGTAGCACTCTTCTTAAAAATACAATTGTTAGGAGATAGTATAAATTTGCATGAGCTTAGGTTTTCTGCCTGCCCCTTGGCCACAGGATGTAGGATATCTAGATGTTCAGTGCCTTCAGGGGTTCTTCAAAGTGAGGTTGGAAAAAGAATCCCGGACAAAGCAAAATCAGGGGTTCTCCACAGTTAGACAGGTATCATGCTTCAGACTTTGCATTGCAGTATCCCATGCAATTATCTAGTCATATGCATCTACCAGCCTTACCAAGTAGGTAGTAGTAGCTCCATATCACTGCAAAGGGGGAGAAAGGGACTGGGGTGATTGTGCACTGACTTACACAAACGTCAACAGCTAGTGAGTGACAGAGCCCTAACTAGATCTCAATGAGCCTGAGACTTCCTGTGGCCCAATTTGACAAGAAAATAGAACTCAATGGTCTATCTCTTCAGGGCTCACAGTCCACTGGCATGTACAGTGATACCAGTTGTTAAAACACTGAAATACTTCTCAATCAGTTGGTAAATAGCTACAGGTTCTCTGGATGCCACATGACCACCCCTGTGGCTACTCTGGCCCTTTCTCTAGGTCCTCAGATCTTCCCGCTATTCAAAGACTAAAGAGTTAACACATGGCACATCAGTGAACAGCTAGGATTCTTTCTACTCTTGTATTATGCCTGACATTCTTTCTGATTAGTTGCTCTCAGTTTCATACCAGTTAAATACTTTGCATTTCCCTACTGTTTCTATTTAAGTCTCAGGGAAGACGAGGGTAGGACTTTAAATAATTGGTTCCACTTTCGATTCCAAAATTATCTGTGCAATATTTAAAATAAAAATAGCTAGATCATTACTTTCACTATGGTCTTAAAGAAAAAACTAATAAAAGTAAATTATCTCTTGGCCCATAGAGTCTGTACTTCACTGAATTTTCCATTTTGGTTCCCTTTCTTTCTTACTTAGCATTTTTCCTAATTTATTAGAAACATTAATCTAATGGGAATGTGTGTTTATGCTGTAGTAACAAAAAAAAAAGTAAAAAAAAGTGTGATGTATAGAGGGGTAGAATTATCATTTATTCATTAGCTGGGTTCCAGGAGGGTCTATAAGAGCCGCTCCAAAATAAGACCATAAATCACAGACAAACGTTTTCCCAGAGGACTCTAATGATACTGTACTTTGTTTTTATCCCAAACGTGATGGCGCTTACTTTGTATTTGGGCTTACTTTTCCACATTATAATACATTCATTTAAATGCAGATTTTGTTATTCTGCTTAACATCATTAGTCTATCAGACAAACACCTGTGGGGAAATATAAATTAACCTATCTCTGTACACTGGTGGGAAGCACTGGGCTTCCCACAATTATCAATTTGCCCTTAGGGTCACCTTTTGATCATCCGTACATTAAGAATCCCCTTCAGAATTGCATTATCATGCCTTACCATCCAAAGTGCTGTGACTTTCCTTAATAGGACAACTTTGGCTACACCACAGCATGGGAAACTCATCCATAATACCCAGGAAAAAAAATGCTATGCTGAGGAAAAGGGCCACTTATAGATGTGTTGATAACAGTGTGATACATGACAATGTGTCCCATTGCTTTATCTGAAAGATTCTGGTATGGCTCTTCCCAACACAAGAACATTCAGGCTGCAAACACAAGACAGTACTCAATGAGTGCCCCATTAGAAGGCATCTGACTGATCATTCATGAAGGGCACAGAGTTATAGAAACCCGTCCCTTCTGCAAGGTGAATCAAGACCACAAACCAAATCCACAGACAAGAGCTTACTATAATGTCACAATCAATGGCTCAGAAAATCAGACCTAACATTAATAAGTGTCAGCTTTGGTTCATCTTCTACAGGCAGTATTTCAGTGCATATTCAGAGCAAACTGAGAAGTAAGAGTGGCATTTTTTTTCCATTTAACAGATGACATTCAAAGATTACCTTATACACAGCTGTTGTCCAGGCCGTCTGCCTCCTTTAAAGTACACCCCACTACATTAGTTCAAAAGCATGAAGTGTAGTGACTGAACAACATTCCATAGCTTGACTGCATGCAAATGAAAGCACTGGTCTCATAAGTAGTATGACTGTGTATGAGGTTGTGTAAACCCTGGAATTTGGGATATTAAATGTTTAGTACTGGGTTTGATATAATCTTTCCTGAGCTTCCAAACCAGGTTAGGTGTCCTTACTGGCCAAAGTTGTAGTATCCCACAGTGTTCTGCCCTACACTCAAAAACTATTTAAATTATTGGCCTGGAAACTACCTTTCTAAATAGATTGAGGGCCCCGTGAGATCTACTGTCATAAGCTTTCTTCACCACAGTGCCCACAATTTGCCTAGTGCATGATATTTTATAGATATATGTTGATTGAGTAGTCAATCCTCAAGTCAGTCCATAGCAGACAGAAACTGACTTCAGATATACATGCCTTACCAAGTGGAGGTAAAACTCTTACATCTTCTTGAAATCAGTGGATTTACACCCTACTTTCTACTACCAAAGTTCCTTCTCTCAGAAGATTCTACTCACCAGATTTTCCTGAGATCTCCAAGCTAATGATTCAGTCCATGTGGGTCTGATCTTTCAGTATTCATTTTGGTCATGCCTCTAAAATGCATCTCTCCCTCACCCTCTTCTAAAGTTCATAAGCTTATTTCTATGGGGAAATATTTACACAGCTTGTAAATTTCAATCTTCCCTTCGCTTCTGTTTCACTTATATCATTTTGAAAATCAATTAGGAGGTACAAAATATAGACACACCCTGATTCACTTCTGGGCTTTCTTCTAGTCAAAATGGATAAGCTACAAAATGAAACTGTTATTTCCATTGAGACAAGAAGCACCGTTTAATAACTCCAGAAATACCTTATAATCATTTAGTCATATACTCTTCACAACATATCAGACAAATCAAATTGGAAGGCAAAAGAATGCAAATCCAGAAACAGAATAACATTTTAAATAAGTCGACTATCTAAAATATGTGCATTTCACATACTAAGACCTAGAATTGTCTGATTCAGAGGATCTACAAAGAAATCCTAGGGAAAAGTAGTTTCTCCACAGACAGTTATATAAATGAAATTCATAAAGTTTTATGTTATAGAAAATAATTTTTAAATTACCTTGTTAAATTCCATACTAGTGTGATTTAAGGCAGGACTGATAATTATTACAATTAATATAGGAGGAAACTGAGGCACAAAGAAATTTGTAACTCTTCGAAAGTCACTCACTTAAAAAGTAGGTGACAGGAGACTCCAGTTTATATTTCCTGACTTCGGTTCCAGTGTTCTTGCCAAAATATAGAAATATAATCACCTTTTCTTAGAAGTTTTCATTGAAATATCAGAAAAATGCAATTAATATTTAATTAATAAAATTTCAATTGCTCTTTATTTAGGTGCTTAGCACTGGAAGGTATGAGAAGAAGGAAAGTACTTTGCCCCTGCAATAAAGCCTTTTACAATGTATCTGAGGGAAAACACAAACACCAAGAAAACCTGGGAAGTTGTGCTGCTAAACTGATTTTTTTATTGAGTCTAAAATGATCAGAGCAAGGGAAGGATACTGCTGACCTGAACAGGTTCACACAAGCCTACCATTCACACATCAGTGTGTGTTAGTACATGAGGAACAGGACTCCAGAACCTGGCAAGCTCACTCTAGAGACTTTTAGATTGCTAATAAAACACAAAAAAACAAACAAAAAAAACCCTAATTTTTTTAGAGAAAGCAATCAGAGTTATGTCAACTCCTGCCAAGATATTTCTTGACATATGCTTATCTCACCCATAGCATTCAAATGAACCCTCTCTCTGCTGCCTATGACTTAAGACACTGGATCTCTTCGGATTTCATTCATCCCCATCTTGATTCAGTCCTTCAGCAATCATTCACTGAGCGGCTCCTATGTTATGTGCCAGGCAGTGTTTGGGGTGTCATGAACACAGCAGTGAACAGAAGAGACACAATCCTTACCCTCATTAAGCTAACACTTTGATTGGGAGAGACAATGCGCAAATAAATAATGAAATATGCAGGATAAAAATATTAATAATATCAGCTATGGAGTAAGATAAAGCAGAACATAGAACTAAAAAGTCCCATTTTTGGTGGTTAGAGAATTGAGTTACTAAAATATGGTCAACCAACACTTGATGCATGGTCAACCTTTAAGCACAGATCTGAGAGAGGAAAGAGAGAAAGACATGGTACTTTCTGGGAAAATAATATTTTAGAGAGAATAGCCTTGCCACTGAGAAGGGCTAAGGCAAGAGGCTCCCCGGTATATTGGCAGATAAGTAAGCCAGATAACACTTGGGAATGGAACGAAGGGACCATGGAATGAAGGGGCCAGGAGAGTTTAAAATAAGAGACCAGAAAGCCCATGGGGAAGGGGCTGGCAGGTCATGGAGGGCCTGCGGAACCTTGAAAGTATGTTGACTTTTGACCTGAGTGTAACAGGGAGCCCTTGGCAGGTTTCAGACAGGGGAGTGAGGTGACCTAACTTCTATGTTAAAAGGTTTGCTCTTGTTGCGGTGCTGAAAATATCCTAAGGGAGGACATAGGCAGAAGCACTAGGGTCATAGTAGGAGGTGAATGCACAGTGTGGACAATAGATGGCAGCTCTATCTCCAGTCCACTTCTTTCTTACTTGGCCGTGCTTAGATTTCCACCCATTCCCATCTGTTCCTTCTCACATCACCAATGTCCTGATCTCTTCCAAATCTGCCTCCAGCTTGGATCCCTCTCACCAGCTCCATATAGTTTGCAACAATAGCCTACAACCAAGCCCCTCTATCTGGAGGTAGAGATATCCCAGACACAATATGTTCAAATTAAATTTATTAATTTTCCCTCTTAGCAAAGTTCAGCATATTCTTTTCCCTATCTTATTTAACGACATTATACCCCCAATTGTCTACCTATAAATCTAAATCATACTCCATCCTTACCTCTCATTAAATAACCATCTACCATCTAGACCTTTAAACTTGATACCATTTTACTAGGCTTATTGTTGATACCCGAGTTTAGGACACTCTCATGTTTTTCCACAGGTTTATACATAACATCATTTTTCAACTGGAAAGATCATTTTTCATATGTAAGATGAGTACCCCTTAGACACATAGAACCAAAAGTTCAGTATAGGCCAACTATAAATCCAGTGATTCCTACCCAAAGCAGCATAGTCACTGTTTAGAACAGACACAAGCTTGTTCTACTGCTTCCTCCTTATTGCCAAAGGACAAAGATTCTAAAGACCCACTGAAAGGATTTTAGCAGATCAGATGCAAGTTAGAATGATCTAGCTGCTGTTTGTATGAACAATGCACTGCAGCGGAAGCAAGGATGGCAATTGAAACTGCTGAAATAATTCAACCTACAAAAAGGTAGTATTAAATGTAGTCATGGAAGTTAACATGGAGAGAAATGGACGGATCCCATGGATATTAAAGAGATAGGTTTGGGTGGACTTGCCAAGTATATGCAATGGGGACACTGAGGAACAAAGTAGCTCAGAGGCTAATTCTGGTTTTTACGTTTATGTGATTAATATGGTTTCACTGAATTTCTGGCTTAATGCAACACTTAATGGAGCCAGTAATCATTAAATGTTCCCTAGGAAGAAACTAAGAGGCTAATTGTAAGATTTCAGGGTAATGGTCATTCTAAGCATCAAATAGAGACTTCAGGACTTATGTAGGGGCTCAGAGATGACCTACTACATCCCTATCCTCCTCCAAGTTCTAGCATATGCCTCTCCTTTTTCAATATGTCCTCACTGCTCTGATGGCTGCCTTATTTTCTTGTCCTTCTCAAGCAACTACAGCCTGGACTGACACTTTAGCCCTTATTCATATATAGTTTTCAAGGTCATTTGTCTCAGCTTTATACTCACAATGAAGGCTACTTGAAATCAGAGAGTTTTGTACAAGATGTTTTCTAGTCTTCATTCTATTTAACCTTCACAAGAACTCTTTGTTAGATTATCACAACTTTCAAGCTGAGGCTTAGCCTGTACACCGTGGAGTGAGAATTTACCTGAAGGTTTTTCACACCTCAAAGTCTCTAGTTTGCCCTGTATATAATCATAAAAGTAAAATAAATTTAACTAAACTATTATGGGTGATTTATAACTTATACCTAACCAATAAATATTTTAAAGATATATCATTCAATTCACACATATTCAGCTTATATAACTTCCCAGAATGTAAGAAACAGTAGCAACAGAGGTCTTTTCTATTGTCCTATTTTTTGCTTAGAGACCATTTGAGACCATTTGAAAAAACATTTATATTTAAGAAAACGAAGCTTCTAAATGTTAGAAATTTAATTTCTAAAAGAAATTAAATCATATTCTTTCTAAAAATCATCTGTATATGGTAAGCCCTAAATAGCAAGGCAAGGTCAAGAACATGTGAAGAAATGAAGGAGCAGATTGCTAATTATCATTTTTATTATCTTCTAGGAAAGAAAGAAAGGTTTGTCTGTAATTGCTTTGGTAGGCATTCATAGTAAATGAACCTGAAAATGCAATATTCCTTCTCCAAAATTGTTAGTTATCTCAATTTCCCCTTTGAAAGTACCAGCCAAGTCTCTTTTTAACTGTTTGAAAAAACAAAAGCAAACTGAGTTACAGCTCAGATTGTAGGGAATACATGTTGGCTCTTTGCCTCAAGTGGTATGGAGTTTGCCTAAAAAAGAGAATTCTTTTTCCAGCTGAATTCAGTACTCCTCACTTGTCACTAGGCCAGACTCTTCTTCTCAAGGCATCTTTGTGTTTCCACTGAGAACCACCAGTGTCTAATGGCATTTCCTTTTCAAATGGGCTTTGGTTCCTGCTACTCAATATGTTTCCACCTTTCTTGGTCAATGCTTTCATCATGCTTTCTTGTTGATGCCCTGGAGTCTCATCTGGAGTCTACAAGCTTCCCAAACTGAGCTGTGGGCCATGAAATGGGTGACCTAAATTTACTGCATAATACACTGTGTACCTTAATGGCTTACAGGATTTTACCGAAAAAAATTCTGTAAGTTTTTGCTTATGCTTTCTCAAGAACCCCCACAGTGCCATATGAATACCTGGGTTGAGGCAACATTGAGTGACAGGCAACAGGCAATTCTCTAAACCACTCCTCTTCATCGACAACTAAAGCTTACTCCTGAGCCAACGGTTGGGAGTGACTCTCTCTTCCATCAGAGTGTATTTTCTCCTAGTAATCTCATGTCCTTTTCTTCTCAGCCATTTATGAATCCCATAGGTCTGCCTCCCAGCTGTAATGAACTCACTAAATTTCAAAGGTGAAAAGCAATTTTAAATTCATGGAATTCATCTACCCACCAATGGTAAACCCCTTTACAACATCCCTACCAAGAAGTCACATTTGGTTTCTGATGAAGACAAGCAGTGATGTTTAAAAGACAGAATTTTTTCATTTTGAGCTCAAGGTGCCTCTTCTAACTTCTGCATACTTCTGCTTCCTGCGAGTTCATATAAAACGTGCTGTGGAAGTGGCTTTCTTCCATCTTTTTATCTCAATTCTAATTAGTGATGTACAACTCAAATTATGTCTCAAAAAAAAATCAACACAAAGTGAGAAAAAAATCACCCTTGTTTATTTCCCCTTAATGATGGATTTTTTTTCACAGCAAACAATCAATGAAATGAAAAGATAAGCTATAAAATAAGAGAATATATATGCAAACCATATATCTGATGAAGGATTAATATCTAATACATTTTAAAAACTGACACAAGTCATTAGAAAAAAAAAAACCAAATAACTCAATTAAAAAATGAGCAAAGAACCTGAACAGACATTTTTTTCCAAAGAATACATACAAGTGATCAACAGATATAGGAAAAGATGTGCAACATCACTAGTCAGCAGAGATATGCAAATCAAAACCACAGTATCATCTCAAAACTGTTAGGATGGCTATCATGAAAAAGACAAGAGGCAACAAGTGTTGGTGAGAATGTGAAGAAAAAGGAACCCTTGTCTATCGTTGGTGGGGAGAACTGGTATAGCCATTATGAAAAAGCAGTATGAGTGCTCCTAAAAATTGAAAATAGAACTACCATGTTGTCCAGCAATCTCACTTCTGGGTATATATCCAAAGAAAATGAAATCACCATCTGGAAGAAATTGCTGTACCCACATGTTCACTGTAACATTATTCACAATAACCAAGATATGGAAATGATCCAACTGTCCACTGATGGATGAATGAGTCATGAAAGTGTGGTTCTATTTTATGCGCACACACACACACACATACACACACACTAAAGTACTATTCAGCTTTTAAAAAGAAGAAGATTCTGCCATTTGTAACAATATGGATGACCTTGGAGGACATTATGCTGAGTGAAATAAGCCAAACACAGAAAGACAAATATTTTATGATCTTACTTATACGTGAAATCTAAAAAAGCTGAAGAGAAGTAGAGAGTAGAATGGTGATTATTCTGGGCTGGAGGGCTGCAGGGGAATAATAAAATTTTCAAAAACTCATTTTGTATAAGTGTGCACCACACATGAAAATGTTAATCATGGTGAAATACTATTCTTTTATAAAGACTGTTATTTTGATTTTTGTTTGCTAATTTGAGTATTTATTTTGCCTATTATGGATTAAAAAGAAAAGTTCAAGTATTTTAAGATGGTATGCAAGATTTAACGAGAAGGATGAAGAGAGCCAACTTGCATTTCATGCTAATTATTTGCCCCACAAAAAACTCAGTTTTTTGAATAGGATATATACTCAACAGAGTTAAGAAAAACCTGACGCTTTTACCCAGAATGACTGGCAGTCAGTTCAAATCTGGTAGCTAGTCCTGTAACTGAGAGAGACAGCAACTTTTAATTAAAGACTGACGGGAAAAAAATCAAAGTTAATTCAGCAGAATATTTCACAAATTTAGATATTAAATATGAAAATCAATGTATTCCATTTGGTATGAGATTTGGAACCATGTATTAAAAACACTTTTTAAAAGATTCAAATCCTTGGAGTCTCTAATTCTACTTCTGGGAATATATTCTAAGAATGTAATCTAAAATAAAGAAACTGATTAGATAGAAAATATTCACGGCAATGTATGTTTAATGAAGAAAATTTGGAATTAATCTAGATATTTAACAATGGGAGGAAAAGTTTAGTAAACTTTGATATTTGGTGTTTGATATTTAAGGTAAACATCTGCAAAAAGGCTGTTTACAATGAGGAATGTTAGCATAGAAATATGTAAAGAGAATAAAACAGGATAAAACATAGACAATATATTCTCAAATAAGTTAAATAAATACTTATAAAGACATTAAAGGCAGAAAGAGAAATAAACAATCATGTCAATAGAGAGTTCTGGGAACAAGGGAGGTAGTTTTGTAATTCTTTTATCTCTTTTTTAATGAATGGAAATAATTTTTAAATGGGAAAAGAGAGATACTGTACATAAAGAAAAGCTGACTCCCCCAGAAATAGAATATCATCTCACATCCAAAGTAGCTGTGCAGATTACAGTGGTGTTATTACTAGGCTTATGAAATATGAATGCTGACCTTGTCTCCTTGCCTTGTACTGGCAGTGAGAGGTGTTTACTGGAGGCCAATTACTTTTTCTCTCACCCTTAATTCTTCTTCAAATTTTATCGCTAACAACCATGTTACAAACCTAAAATTGTTTGAATGTATCAGTCTCCTTAACATTTTCTTCTTTTCTTTCAGAGTAATTCTGAATATATCACATCAATTGCATGCATAATGCTAATGCCAACATTTTGTGCAGGAGGGCATCTTGTCAGAGAGACCATATCTGAGTTCATATTCTAAGCAGTTATCAGCTTCTTTATGAACGTCAATAAATGTAAATTCTAATAAAAAGAAAAATAAAATCTTATTAATTGTCCTCTGGAGCCTTCAAAATAGTCCTACATTCTTTAGGCAAGAACTCACTGAGAATGTTTTTAGTCTCACATTCTGCCAAAGAGAAAGTGGCAGGACACCAGCATTTTGCATCTTTGTGTGTGTGTGTGTGTGTGTGTGTGTGTGTCTGCACTCTAAAACATTGGAACATACAAAAGTAGACACAGCCAGACAGAGATGGACATATATGGATTTACCAGGAATTTGATGAGGCTTACCCTTTGGGCTCCCACTTTCTTAGGGCTTCTGCTAAGACCTTTTAACTGTAATTTTGTAAAGATTTGTAATTTTGTAAAGAAGACCCTTTAAGTTGTGGAAGAAGGATATTCCACAAAGTCTATGTTGTCTGCTAGGCGTGCCCAACTTTCCCAGATTACTCTGGGAAAACAGTACTAGGTGGAAACACAAAAATCTATTACATCTGATTCTGAGATGTGAGACCTAGTTGGGTAAATGGAAGGGAGAGAAGAGCAAAAGAGAAATGCATGGGAAAGGGATATGGGACAAAAAAAAAATCAAGTAGGAAAAAGCTGTTTGCTGAACTGTAAGATCTGAGATTAAAATCAATTCTTAGTCTTTTCTCAATGAAAAATCCTAGAGTGCATAACTTATTATAATGCCAGAAGGGTCAACTTTAAAACCATAAGAGGGATAGCCTTGGGACTACAACTGTTCAAAGCTATGATTAAGAAAGAGCAGGGATCGGCCTGGCGCAGTGGCTCACGCCTGTAATCCCAGCACTTTGGGAGGCCGAGACGGGCAGATCACGAGGTCAGGAGTTTGAAACTAGCCTGGCATGATGAAACCCCATCTCTATTAAAAATACAAAAATTAGCTGGGTGTGGTGGCCCGCACCTGTAATCTCAGCTACTCGGGAGGCTGAGGCAGGAGAATTGCTTGAACCCGGGAGGTGGAGGTTGCAGTGAGTGGAGATCGTGCCACTGCATTGCAGCCTGGGTGACAGAGCAAGACACTGTCTCAAAAATTAAAAAAAAAAAGAAAAAAGAAAGAGTAGGATCAGCCTATCACGGTGTCTGATATGCATATAATAGCCAAGTTCTTAGCTGCCAATGTCTCACATGCATATATTATTTTCAATCACGCAAAAAAACTGCTCATACAATTTCTGTCTCAGAAAATGGTGGAGGTGACCTGCAGTTTGAGTTTAGTAGCAAGTCACCACATACACACTGATTATTAACAAAGGGTCTTAGCAAACTAGTTCAATTCTTTCACTTACAGATGAAAAATGGGCTTTAGAAGGGAGAATGAGAATGCCTGGGGGTGATGGATTTAGTGGCAAAGCAGGCATATTAATTTTTTTCTTGTAATACATCTTTGCATATTAGATGATACATTTATTAAAAATCATGTTTTCTGATATATGATGGAAAAATAAGTTTTTTAATGTTAATATCTAATTCTCACGCAAATCCATACACACACACACACACACATTCGCACTTACACATACACACACAACCTCAAAAGCTATAGTGGAAGGAATTTACATATCATCACACGTCCTATTATTTCAAAATCTCATAATAAAAATTTTGCAAAAGGAGATCGTATTTGAGTTTTCTTACCTATGTGTGTGTTAGCTTTTATTTTTACTAATTGAAATCTTTGCGGAGGAGAGGTAGAAGTCAACAGAAGATAAAAAACTAATTATCTTCTCTGTTTAGAAATACTGAACTTCAGTAATGGGAGTGCTGGGTCAAATGATATTTCTGGTTCTAGATCCTTGAGGAATCGCCACACTGTCTTCCACAATGGTTGAACTAATTTACATTCCCTCCAATAGTGTAAAAGCATTCCTATTTCTCTGCAACTTTGCCAGCATGTGTTGTACCTTGAGTTTTTAATAATCGCCATTCTGACTGGTGTGAGATGGTATTTCATTGTGGTTTTGATTTGCATTTCTCTAATAATCAGTGATGTTGAACTTTTTGTCATATGTTTATTGGCTTCATGAGTGTCTTCTTTTGAGAAGTGTTTGTTCATGTCTTTTGCCCACTTTTTAATGGGGCTGTTTTTTGTTGTAAGTTTAAGTTCCGTGTAGATTCTGGATATTAGATGTTTGTCAGATGAATAGAATGCAGAAATGGTCTCCCACTCTGTAGGTTGCCTGTTTCCTCTGATGATAGTTTCTTTTGCTGTGCAGAAGCTACTTAATGTAATGAGATCCCATTTGTCAATTTTTGCTTTTGCTGCAATTGCTTTTGGCACTTTCATCATGAAATCTTTGCCCATCCCTATGTCCTGAATGGTATTTCCTATATTTTCTTCTAGGTATATACCTAGAGGAATATAAATTACTCTGTTACAAAGATACATGGACATGTATGTTCATTGCAGCACTATTCACAACAGCAAAGACACAGAATTAACCCAAATGTCCATCAGTGATAGACTGGATAAAGAAAATGTGGTACATATACACCATGGAATACTATGCAGCCATAAAAAGGAACAAGATCTTGTCCTTTACAGGGACATGGATGGAGCTGAAAGCCATTATCCTCAGCAAACTAACACAGAAACAGAAAACCAAACATCGCATGTCCTCACTTATAAGTAGGAGCTGAACAATGAGAACACATAGACACAGGGAGAGGAACAACACGAACTGGGGCCTGTTAGGGGGTTAGGTCAGGGTAGGGAGAGCATTAGGAAAAATAGCTAGTGTATCCTGGGCTTAACACCTAAGTGATGGGTTGATAGGTGCAGCAAACCACCATGGCACACATTTACCTATGTAACAAACCTGCACATCCTAGACATGTACCTCAGAACTTAAAATAAAAATTGAAATTAAAAAAAAAAACAAACCTGAACATCAAGTGTTTTATCTTCTCCACACACAGGCACCTGGACTGCGCTTGTTCCAGAGAGCACTGAAGTCACAGCAATCCAATGCCCCAGCAGGGATACCCAACTAATCCATCCATGCTCATTAGTAAGAAAGAAGTTACTATTGTTTAAAACTGAATACAAAGCTCAATTTAGTTTTACATGGATTCTTGGATTAACTTTACATGGACCCTGGGCCAACTGTGTCTGTAAAATAGTGAAGTGGACCTTGGTGCCTAACATTAGAGAGATCACTGACCTTTGTGATAAATTGCTAAGGACACGTTTCTCAAACAAATGTTCTGCAAATATTCACCAACATTTGCATGTAATTTTATAGCTTTATTGGACTAAGTCAAAAGACCAAGGTTTGCTATTCGTCTCTGCCCAATTTGGTGCAATGTGAACTTATACATTCAACTTTCCTTTCTGAGCTTCAGTTTCTCTACTTGCAAACTCTGTTATGACTGGGTTTCATAATACCTAAGACTACTTTTAGCTCCAAGATGCCGTCAGTTTGTGTTAGGTTTCTATGCAATCTCTTTTGAACAAGTAAATTCATATAACCACTTTGAGCCTAGGGGGAAATTTAAGCTTAACGTGTCTCAGAGGTTCACAGTGACATCAGAAATTATGTTGATGATCTAAAAAAATCACCAGAGAGTGTTACTTAATTTTCATTTAAATGAAAGAAATAATTATCCTGACAAGACAGGGGATATTTCTGAGATAGTTAACTTAGTTCACTTTGGTTCTGCATGAGATTGAAACCATTTAGCAGAAAATTAAATTAACATTTGCCAAGAAATTAAGATAAAATGTGAGGATCACCATGTAATGCTATTTGTCATTCTGGAAAGAATGGATGATCCATGTCAACCTTCAAGCTCAGCTCCATGAGCAATTGGAAATTATCAAGAGTTTTAGAAGTGATGGACAAATAGAGTTTGATATGGGTAAACGCCAATTGATTCAAAGAGTGAAAGGACAACTGACTGTGACAGATAGATTCACTGTCCATGAGGATCAAATTATTGAAATACAGTGTTCAAGGAATTCTAGAGAGGCTAGACTTTGCTGTTGTAACAAGAGATTAATCTTAGGGCAATTAGAGTAAAGTTGAAGAAAATACTTATGAATGATTCTAGTTCTTCCTGTTATTCCAAAGATTTTAAATTCCCTTTATTTTTCTAACCAAAGAAAGAGCACAGATAGGCATATGACAACATTTAAGGAAAAGAGGAAGGGTCTCATGAGTTTGCAGACATTTGTCCACTTATTTACATGCCAGAGGGCAGATAAGTAAAAGCTGATTCAGGGTCTTGCCTGGAGTTGATCACTGACCAACCCCATTAAATGGCAGTAAAGATCAATATCATTGAGCTGCTCAGTGGTTTATATGAAGCCTGAAATAAATTTACATAGACTAATTGGTAGGAAATTAGACACTAGTTAAATAGCAGAGATTATGAGGGGAAAAATGTACCCTCAGATACTTCAGATTAGATACTTAAATTTCTGCAAAGTTAAGATGGCTAAAAAAGGTCTGCAATATACTTACTTTTATTATCTCATTCAACAAGTATTTTTTGAGGACCTATTATGTCTCAGGCACTGTTTTAAGTGCTCAAAATACACTAGTGGTAAAAAGACCAAATTTATGCCCTTGTGGTATTTACATTCTAGGGGAGAAAACCAACAATAAGCAATATCCATGCTAAATAAACACATTATCTAGAGTGTTAGAAAGCGATGCATCTTTATTTTATATATATATATATATATATATTTTATGGGAACAGCATAGGCAGAATCAGGAGGACAAAATAAGATGGCAGGCAGTTTACTTCGTTAGATAGTTCAGAGTAGGGATTACTGAGAGTGTAAAACATGGACAAAGACTTGAAAAGGATGAGGTAGTTATTAAAGCTGATATCTGGGGATAGGGCAACTCAACCAGTGCAAAATTCTACAGCCAACATCCTACAGCTGGAATGTGATGGTATGATGGGTGTAGAGAAAGAGAGAGGAGCTCAGAAGAAGACCATTGTAAATGTTTCAACTGTTTCTGAGTCAGATGGTGAGGTCATTTTTGAGAATGGGAATGACATAACGGGACACATTTTGGTCACGCTGCCATATTGGCTGCCATATTGAAAACAGACCCTAGATGAACTGAGTTTGAAGTAGGAAATCCCATTAAATATTTAGTTTTTTATTATTTATTTTAAATAATCCAGACAAGAAATGATAATGGTTTGGATCAGTGTGTTAACAGTAGCAATAATGAGAAAGATGCAGATTCTTGAGATGAGAGAGGCAGCTGGTGAAGCAGGTTTTGAGGGAAGAATAGGAATCAAGTACTGGAGATATTGTCTTAAATATCTGTTAGACAGCCAAATAGGGATATAAGGTAGACATTTGCAAATACAAGTCTAGAGTTTGGAAAGCAGGTCTCAGCTGAAGCTATAATTTTTAATGTTGTTGAAATGTAGGTGATACATAGAGTTATGAACATGGGATAAATTCACCAAAGTCATGAGGAGAAAGCAAGAGACAAGAGCATCAAAAAAAAGATGCTCCTGTGTGAAGAGCTTGGAGAGAAGTAAGAAAGGGTGTTCAGCAAGGTAGGAGAAAGACTGAGTATATATGACACTAGGAGCCATTTGAACAAAGTTTACCCAATAGAAGGGCAAGATGGCCTTGCTGATAGATCACCCAAGACTGGGAATTGGTCATCGATTGAGCAGTATGGGATCCGGATGACTTCTGTATGAGCATGAGAGGGGAAAAGCAATCTGAAAAAGTTAGGAGAACAGAAGTAGAGGAACTGGCTGCCAGAAGTAGAGGAACTGCCAACCTGAGTGTAGATACATCTTAAAAGAGTTTTGCAGCAACAGAAGCAAAGAAGCAAGTTGGCTGCTGGTGTGGGAGTTTGGGTCAGATGACAGTTTTCTTAAGGATTAACGATATATTAACATAGAGATGGCAATGATCTAATTGAAATAATTTTGAAATCAAATAGACTGGCAGTAAAACCTGGTTCTGGCACTTAATAGTTTTATGACCTCAGAGAAATCATTCATCTTCTCTGTGCCTTGGCTTCCCTATCTTTCCAGGTATGAGGTTGAAAATGACTTTCAGTAGCAATCTCCAGGAAAACAGCACTGGGCTGTGGAAAGATGCACAGAAAGGGTTTATATCGTAGTATCTTGCTTAGTAGCTGTATAATGTTGATCCAAAAACTTTTTTTTAAGTCCTAGCATCTTCATCTTGAAATGAGATAACAATACTTTTTTCAATAGATTTTGATAAGAATACAATAAAGTTGTGCAAATGAATTGCCTGGCATAATGTCTGGCATATATCAAGTGTGAAATAAATGTCATTTGTTTTGTTTGCTCTACCATGTCTCAAAGATCCAAATTCTCTAAAATGGATGCCTTCTGCACAATCAACAGGCATGCTCTTTGATGAATGAATCCAGGCTCCAGCCCCCTGTTTGTGACAATACCTTAGGTTGAGGGTGTACTATGACCATTTATTTGGCTTAGGTTATTGCTTCCCTCCTAAGAGTGACATTGCTGCCTCAGCCTTTGCCTACCTACCATGACCCAGGCTCTGATTTTCTTGAGCTCTAGACACAGAGACTGCCCTATTGAAACTGCTGCTGATGCAATACCAGCCATAGAGAAGCTTATTCCAGAAAACTGCCTACAGAAACTTCAGATGAACCTAAACAAAGATTGCTAACTGTTCCCTGGTATAGATTTTTAGGTGAATTTTCCTTCTCCATATATCTCTAAGAACATGTTAATACACTATGTGGGGATATGTTAAAAAATATAGGAACTGAATAGTATTATTAAAGCACCCATTTCCGAATCAACTAGCTCTGCATTCACATCCAATTTTAATCACACTAGTTGGTGAATTTAGGCAAGCTAATGAGCTTTTCTAAACCCCCATTATCTCATCTGTATATGTGGTTTACAATACTAGTCTCATATGGGCTGTGTGAGTGTACTGGGCTAATTAAACAAAAGCTCCTAGCAGAGCACCTGGTATGCATAAATAGTAGTCATGTTTATTATTGATTAGGCCTATATATATATTAGGTAACTGGACACAAAAGTGATCCCAACTGAAATTTCATTTTTAAAAATTCACAATTCAAGGCAAGAGTAATGTGATAGAAGGTTTAATCCAAACATTTTTTTTCCTAAATATTTGAGACCCTATGGTATGAAGATCTTCATGAAAAAATAAGAAAATAAATACAGAATATGGTATTAAATCATTAATTCCTGAGGTTTTATGTAACTCTCCATTCAAGACCCAACTGGTCATGCCATCCCTGGAGATGGCTTCACAGCCCCCAGAGTTGGAGTGAATAACCCCACCCTCAGAGGCAGCTTCCCCTTTGAGGGCCAAGTCCACTTGAGACCACAAAAGTCATCTCTGCTTCCATGGAACACTGTTGTTGGAAAGAAATCCCTCAGTGGAGATTGTAGTTATTCAGACTAAAGTTGGAGCTACCATTTTGTACTTAGCATACTTTGCAATTAAAAAATAATAATAATTTTATGAGAGCTGTGTGATAAAAACAAAACAAGGGCTTTCTCAATGTAGTCCAGATTTAATCAAAGTAAGTTATTTTGTATTTATTTAAATTTTACTTGCAGTTTTGGAGGCCTCATTCTAAGTTCAGCCCTACTGGATTTGTGTGGCCTTTGGCAAACTACGTGTCCTCTAGAAGTCTCAGTTTCCACATTTGGAAATAATAACATTTCTGTGGAAGATGGCTGTGAAGAGTAAATGAGTTTGTATGTTTAGCATACCAGGCAGGTATAAGGTGCTTAAGAATTGGAAGTTCTTTCCAAGGATGACTTGTTGATGACTTCAAAATAACCCTGGTTTACCATGGTCTTGAAATTACCAAGTAGCCAACTTCATGCAATAAACAACCAAGAACAGGCTCATAATTATATCTCCCATTCTCTCCATACAAATTTAAATGAATTCACACCATTTTAATTAAATTTTCTTATTTTCAATAGCCTTGAAAAACATTTGGCACACATACAATATAATTGTTAGGGCTTCTGTATCACACATGAAAATCTTGAGAATTGTCTGCTAAACAAATACTGTATCCATGTGATGGTCTTTAATCATTGTAAGCCCAAAGAGACTGTAATCAATATATTGACTACAACTCATAATATACTGAAATGTCATTCTGGGCTGCACGAATTGGATTTAAAATTCAATATGCAAGATTTTCATGAGACACCCAGAGGAATTTGATAGAAAATAGCATTGCTGTGTTTCTATATCTGATCTGTTTGTCTTTTCTTAAAACTAACACAAGTAAATAAATCAATAACATAAAGGCAAATGCCTTTTCTTTTTCTAATAAACTGTGTATAATAATTGTAGTCTTGGTCATTTCTAAATAATCCCAACTAGATGTGAAGCCTAAAAAGAGATTCACATGAAAGTAAAATTAGCAATGGCCTCTGGTCATGATGACATGTTTAACCTGGATTCTGGAGACTGGAGTGCACTCATTATAACACTATTTTTTAATATATATTAACCTCCACTCAGGGTTACAAAGCTGGTCCCTCAGGTGGTTCACAGAATAGTGTTACCCAAGTTTGTGTGGAGGATTAAAATAAAACAATGATAGAAAGCGTGTATTAGACTTACACATTCCTCCCAATGTAGACATAAATTAGTCACTGGAAACTGAATCCACAATCCCCTTTCTAAGGTGTTCATTTTAAAATGCATTTACATACTTGCAGGACGATGAAGTATCTGGCTTTTATACTGACTTACAATTTCTGTTTATTTATATATAGGTTTATGTTACAAGAACAAAGCAAAATATACTTTTATTCTTTGTATCCTCAGGATTTAGCACATTGATGATGAAAAATTATATATATATCTATATAATAGATATATCTATATAATAGATATATATAGTGTATTATATATACATATATTATACATATATAATAACCATTATGTTAAACCTCTTAAACTTTTGTGTTCAGTACAGTATTGTTAACTATAAGCACAATGGTTTACAGAAGATCTTTATAACTTTACAACTTACATGACTGAAACTCTATACTCTGATCAGCCCTTCCCAGGCCCTAGCAAGTACCATTCCACTTTCTGCTTCTGTGGGTTCGGCTGATTTAGAGATCTCCTATAAGTGGAATCATATAGCATTTGTCCTTCTGTGACTGGCTTATTTCACTTAACATAATGCCCTCAAAGTTGATCCATGTTATAGCATTTGACAGAATTTCCTCCATTCTTATGGCTGAATGATATCTCATGGTATCCATTGTGGCCGGGTGTGGTGGCTCACGCCTGTAATCCCAGCACTTTGGGAGGCTGAGGTGGGCAGATCACGAGGTCAGGAGTTCGAGACCAGCCTCGCCAACATGGTGAAACCCTTCTCTACTAAAAATACCAAAATTAGCCAGGTGGGGTGGCACATGCCTGTAATCCCAGCTACTTGGGAGGCTGAGGCAGAAGAATTGCTTCAACCCGGGAGACAGAGGTTGCAGTGAGCCAAGATTGCACCACTGCACTCCAGCCTGGGCGACAGAGCAAGACTCCATCTCAAAAAAAAAAAAATCCATTATAGGCATGAGCAACAATTTCTTTGTCCATTCACCTGCCAATGGACATTTAGGCTTTTTCTACCTCTTGACTACTATGAATAATGCTTCATTGAATATGGGAGTACAAATATCTCTTTGAAAAACTGATTTCAATTATTTTGATTTTCAGTTTTTTGAGGAACATTCATACTGTTTTCAGTAGTAGCTGCACTATTTTACAGTCCCACCAATAATATACAAGGGTTCCAATTTCTCCACATCCTCTCTCCAACACTTGTTATTTTCTGCTAGTTTGTTTCTTTGATAATGGCCATGCTCAGAAGTGTGAGATGATATTTCATTTTGGTTTTGACTTGCGTTTCCCTGACGATTAGTGATGTTGAACACCTTTTCATGTATCTGTGGGACATTTGTATGCATTCTTTGAAGAAATGTCTATTCAAGTCCACTTCCATTTTTTAATTGGGTTATTATTACTTTTTTGTTATTGAGTTGTAGAAGTTTCTTACATTTTTAGATATTGAGTCCTTATTAGATATAGAGCAGTTAATATTTTCTCCTGCTCCATAGGTAATCCTTTAACTCCCTTAACTGTTTCTTTTTCTGTACAGAAGCCTCACCAGCCTATTTTTTTTTGCTTTTGCTGCCTGTACTTTTGTGGTCATATAAATGAAACTACTCAGACTATAAATGTCTATACTCATCTATAAATGTATTTGTATAAATAGGAGGAAAGCACAGTACAAAACAAAGCAACTTACTATGGATTCTTTCCAGACATTTTCCCAATATTTAATTTGGTGCTCAGTTACATTTTACTTAGGGTATCTTGCTCTTTGCCAGTTGCAAAATATCTCATATGAGATCTTCAGGTAATTGTTACATTTTTTACAAATGCTAGTTGGCCCATTTCTGATTAGATTACCCTTCGAAAATCCTACTACTCTGCAAATATGCTTACCATACTAGATGGCCTAATATCTCAAATTAGTCAAATTAATATTCACAAGCAGAAGCTTTCTTGGTACTTGGTGCTAAAATCTATTGACATCCTGTTTCTTGAATTATTCAAACATACATCATTATCAATTTGTATAAGTGTGTTTTATAAATTATAAATAGGAGATCATTTAAGGTTATATTCCTTTGCAAGTTTATCTAAAAATCAGCTCATCTTTGAATTCAGTCAGGGCATTGGAGGCTTGTAAGACTATTTGGTTAGAGCAGGGTTATAGTGGGGACACAGTTGTGTAGTTAAGTTCCTGAGCCCTACACTGGGGTCGTAATGAACAAGTATCACAGTAGCATTCCAGAGACAATGTCTAACCGTGCTAGCATGGAGCAAGGTGTATTGTGAAGGGTGCTATAAACATATTATCTTGTTCATACTGCAGCATACCCTTCCCATGGTATCATTTTTACTTTATAGGTATGCAAACTGACATTATTCCCAATCTTTTAGATGGTTAACACTAAAAAGTGTTAGTCACTAGTAGTGAGTATTCTGGAAAAAGCTGGCAGAATCACATACATCACTCTTGCATACAGAAATGGGACAAGACATTACTGTTCTCTTTACGGAGATTAGAGACTCTGGAAGTCCCAGATCTCAGACCTGGAAAGATCTAAAAAGTCCTCTAGTCCAACTATATTCTTTGCCAACATTGTGACTGTACTAGGAATGTAGCTCTCCTGACAAGATCTTCATATTAAATTCTGGCTTTGCACCAGGGTATTTCATAAGGTAATCACTGACAAATGTAGCCCTGCATGCTAAAGAGCAGGGACCACTGTGATTGGAAGTAAAGCAAATCAGATCAAGTGACAACTGGGAATTTGTAGATGTAATTAATGCCAAAGATAGCTTATGTAAGGGACAAACAGACAAGAATTTTTTAAAATAAAATAACAATAAATAGTAGCTACAACTTTAAAACAATAACAGTAATGACAACAAAACTGTTATTGTTGACTTGTGCCAGGCACAGTACTAAATTCTTTACATATATCATCTCATTTAGTCTTCAGAACAAACCCAAGGACAAAGCTATTATAATCTCCTATTTTACAAAAAATAAGACCAAGGCTCAGTGAGGTTAAATCTTTTGGCCAAGGACACAAAGCCAAAATGTGGTGATACCTGGGTTCAGAACCATCTTAGATTAATTCTGAAACTTAACGTCTCACCCACTGTAGTACACAAAGTGTACTTAAAAGTCAGGAATGAAAAACAGGGATTTGGCTCATTCACTAAATATCCATATGTATCCCAGATTCTAAGTGTCAGTCCAGGTGGGAATGGGCAGGTATGCGACCCTGTTTTAAATCATTACACTGTTTTATTGCAAAACAAATAAGCCATTATAGAAAAAACCAGCGTGTCTGTTTACAGATTCAAATACAATTTTAAAAAGCTTGTCTAGGCACTGGAGATTAAAAGTTTGAACTATAATTACATTTCCAGATGGTCTCTGAATATGAAAAGCAAATTAAAATCTAATGCATATAGCATTTTCTTTAATTTTCTTAGAAGTAGTCATAAGAGTTAAAAGGCAGATTTGTTGCCATTTCTAAATTCCAAACCCTTGTTTGTGCCCATACACTAGCAGGCAAATCAAGAGCAATGCATACAGTCATGAAATCCACCAGGACGCTCAGGTGCTGGGGTAGCCAGAGATTATTTCCCATGAACTAAACTTGAGCAACTGGTGATGTCCCTCCTTTCCAACCCAAGTTGTGATTCTAGGAAATCTCCGTTAGTGACAGAGAGGAAAACCTTTTTAAAAGGGGAATAGGGCCTGGCGTGTGTGTGTTTGTGTGTGAAATGTGAAAAGCTACATTGCAATTTTCTGGGAAGCCATCTACATTAAACAGAGGGGAAACACCTACTACATCTACTACTAGCATTGCCTACTTTACATCATCAGCAACATCATGTCATCATCACCAACATCTTTATGAAAACATACAAGAATTACCATTTGAAAGCCAGATTATTTTCTCAGTTCTACAAAGGTCCACGGAGTTTGAGATGACCAAGCAAGGAAGCTGCTTTGAGAGCTCAAAGTCAGAAGTTGCTGGACCCTTTAAAGGGCAGAAGGAAGAGCTGGCCTCCATCTGGGAGACCCAGTCACCACTGCACTCACCTGACTCTGTATGCAAATCATGTTTTCTTTTCCATAATAAAAGCATCATCATTGTGTTAGTCCCTTTCAATTTTGAAGTCCAGTTCTCTAGCAAAGGCCAGGCTGGTCTCTGAATAAGGTTCTGCATGGACAAGTAGGGAGTGCATATATTCCTAGAAATCCCCCACATCAAATTACTTTTTTTCATCTGTTTGGGCCCATCTGCCCTGCCTTTCCTGGACAGAAACTTTGAATGTTGGAATTTTTTGAACTGAAGTTACTTGTTAACCCATTTAAGAAAATTCTTGCATCCTTGCAAGATTGTAGGATCTGTGCTGGTTGGTAAACTTGATGCTTGTCTACAGTAAGATTTACTCCCTCCAAGGCTCATTTTGGTTCACTCAGACTCTGTATTTATGACTCTCTCTCATTTGCCCCCACACTGTAATCCTGTAGGTACATCATTATCAACCACAATCTCCTACTCACTACCATTTTCCTCCCATAATTGCACCTCTATGAAGATTAACAAAACCTCATTGCCTAAGTAGAGATGACTATCCCTGTGCTTCCTAAACTTTAATAAGCACTTGAAACATCAAGATAGCTGGTTATAATAGGCGGCTGGCCCTCAACCCTAAGACTCTGATATAGCAGGTCTGGGTGGGTCTGGGTGAAACCTAGAAATGCGTATTTCTACCAAGCTCCGTGGTCCCTTTGATGGTGCCTATCCAAGAATCACACTCTGTGTAGCACTGACCTTGCCTGTTTCCCTACACCACACCTCTCCCAAGTCCCCGTACTCCAAGGTTAGTGCCAGGAATAGAAACCCAAATCTTACAGCTCTTATCACTATACCACAAAATCTTTGTGATTTCAGCTCAATACTGGAAAAGGGGGTCAGAATATTCTTTGCGTTCCCAGAACACAGGTCTTTGCAGTAGATGGGTTCAGTCTTGGTATCAGACTATTCAAGATGAAAAATCTTGTTCCAGGATGACAAGGCTAAACACAGTGTGGCAGCCTTTCTACTAAGTGTGCTCAATGCTCATAAAGACAACATGATAACTAAAAATAGTGATTTAATAAAAACAGTTGTGGTATATTTACATTTGCCCAAGTATTTTGCATAATTCTACATGTGGATTTTTTTTTTCACAGAGCACATCTAATTCTACACGTATAATCCCTAATATTTCCTATTTGTATATGTTTGGTTTTAAAAATGGAGAGAAAAATCACTAGATACAGGCATTGAGCTAAGCTGTGCTTCGAAACATAATACTGTATTTCTACTACAGAATTGTAATTTTTTCTTTTTGAGATGGAGTCTCACTCTACTGCCCAGCCTGAAGTGCAGTGGCGTGATCTCAGCTCACTGCAACTTCTGCCTCCCGGGTTCAAACAGTTCTCCTGTCTCAGCCTCCAAAGTAGCTAAGATTACAGGCACCCACCACCATGCCTGGCTCACTTTTTTGTGTTTTTAGTAGAGATGCGTTTTTACCATGTTAGCCAGGCTGGTTTTGAACTCCTGACCTCAAGTGATCCGCCTGCCTCGGCCTCCCAAAGTGCTAAAATTAAAGGTGTGAGCCATCGTGCCCGGCCTAGAATTGTAATTTATAATTTGTGAACTAATTTCAACTACATACAGTAATATTTATGAATAGAATTATTAAACCTAAGATTACCTTTAAATTTCCCAGAGAAGTGTTTTCTGTTTCCATCCTGTTCAAAAACAGATTAGCAATGTTAATATGTAAATGAATGATTAATTAAATAGAGTAATCATTTTGACCCTTTAATTTCTTACTTAAGAAAGCCAGAAATAAACATGTTAATATGGGAGTCACACTCTCAGAAAGTAAAACCTGGGACTATACCAGATCACACAGGAAGGAAGTGTGGGGGAGAAGAATGTGGAACCTGGCAAATAAGGGGGATCAGACACGCTGCACTTTATGAGTTCACGGTACAAATATGACTACCATCAAAATAAATAATGGCTGAAGAAATGTCATGGATTTGGCAACTAAGGCCATTAGAGGCTTTAGAAAGAGTAAATCCAATGGATTGAGAAGTTTCAAGTCATAACGCAGTTAAATATGATAGAGAAATAAAAACAATGTATGATAGAGAAATAGTAAGGACACCAATTGGTCATAATTGTGAAGTCTGGCAGTACAAGAAATGGAAGGCATGAGATGGTAGCTGGGAATGACAGCAAGCTCCTTGGCAGAGTTTTTCATGGTGGAGGAGAAAAGGGTTTACAGTAAATCCCAGTGGGAAAAGAGGAAGATGAGATATACTTTGGATAGTAAGAGAGTAGAAGGGATGGGAAGCACTGATAGAGGATTAAGCTCAAGTCAGGATGTTAGCCAAATCGTCCTCCAACACTGGTAGATTGTCTCATTGTATTATTGTTCAGAAATATTCATAATCCCCTCACTCCATGGTAGAAGTGCAAGTTTACTTCCATCAGCACTAGGCTTGACCATGTGAGCTGCGTTAGCCAATGACACGGAAGCAGCTATGAAACAGGGTATATCTGTGCAGAAGCTTTAAGTGCTAATAGGTTTGGCTTAGTTTTCTCTTGTGCCATGAGAATAAGCATGTGCCATGCACGGGCTGTATGAATACGTGTGGACCAGAGCTAATCAGAGCAGAGTGGGGCTGGCAAAACACAAACAGACCTGAATAGATGCCAATATGTAATGTAAATGAGAAAATGATTCTCATATACCACTCTGATTTGGGGAGTTATTACCAAAAAAATGGTCAACACACAAAAAGAAATATTTAAAGACAAATACAGGAGAGACTTCCTTAACCCCAAAGCACAAATAATGTTTCTTTTTTTCATAAGCACCAATTATTTTACTTAGGATAGTCAGCTTAGTATACAGAAATATCATCCTTTTTATTTTAAAATGACTTTTTGGTGATGTAATTACTATAGCTTAAACATCACCTGTTGAATGTGTGCAATTCAATGATTATTAGTACATTTACAGAGTGGTGCAACCATTACCACAAATCTAATGTTAAGATATTTCCCACTGCAAAAAGAAAATAAACCTTATACTTGTAAATTGCCATTATCAACCCCACTACCCAATCCTAGACAACCACTAATCTACTTTGTGTCCTAATTAAATTTGTGAATTTTTGACCTTTCTTATGAATGAAATCCTGCAATACGCAATCTTTCGAGTTTGGCTTCTTTCATTTATCATAGCAGATGAACCTCAAAAACATTAGGCATTCTTTCTTAGGGCAGGACAGAACACGTTTTTTAAATGGTAAGGTTTTTTTGTTTGTTTTTGTTTTTGTTTTTGTTTTTGAGACGCAGTCTCGCTCTGTAGCCCAGGCTGGAGTGCAGTGGCGCCATCTCGGCTCACTGCAAACTCCGCGCTCCAGGTTCACGCCATTCTCCTGCCTCAGCCTTCCAAGTAGCTGGGACTGCAGGCGCCCACCACCACGCCCCGCTAATTTTTTTGTGTTTTTAGTAGAGACGGAGTTTTACCATGTTAGCCAGGATGGTCTCAATCTCCTGACCTCGTGATCCGCCCGCCTCGGCCTCCCAACGTGCTGGGATTACAGGCATGAGCCCCGGTGCCGGGCTTTTTTTTTTTTTTTTTTTTTTGAGACAGAGTTTTGCTCTTGTTGTCCATGCTGGAGTGCAATGGCGCGACCTCGGCTCACCGCAACCTCTGCCTCCCGGGTTCAAGCGATTCTCCTGCCTCAGACTCCCAAGTAGCTGGGGATTACAGGCATGCATCACCACGCCCAGCTGTTTTTTTTTTTTTCCCTCCAACTCCTGACCTCAGGTGATCCGCCCACCTCTGTCTCCCAAGGTGCTGGGATTACAGGCATGAGCCACCGCGCCCGGCCAGTTTTTTTACTATGTGCCAAGACTACACACGCGTGCATATCCTCTCTTCCCCCCTTCCTCTCTGTCTATAGGTGTGATGTGTATGTCTGTGTGTATACATATAGTTACATATAAATATACGTATGTACCAAACCTCATAATAACCCTGAGTTAAAGGTATTTTTATTCCTATATTTCAGACAAAGAAATTGAGGATCAATTATTTAATTCAATTTCCAAAATCCCAAAGCTCTTAAGTGCCAGCACCAGTATTGAAAATCAAGTCTGATTGATTTTTACATTTTTTTCCACTGTCACATCACCTCCTATTAATTTCAAAGGACTATTTCTCTAAAAATGTTAGTCATGTAAGGATATTAAATTGGATAGTGGATATCCTTCACCTTTACACCATGAGCCTTTCTACATTGTCTTGCACCAAAAAGAGAAACATAAGAAAACTGTACTGTGCTTTCAAAATAGGCAAGGTAATTTAAAAAGCAGATAGAGTCAAAAGTAATAACAAAAGGAGCCTGTCTGAATATTGAAATGTAATCCACTTCGCCCAATCAATTATTTCCTAAATAGAAGAATACCATAAAAGATTAGCAGGTTCTTGTCTATTGTTTTTAATTATTTCCAAGTTTCAACTGGCGTGGCATATAAAAGGATATAATAGGATAAGTCTAAAAGACTTCAAAGTAATTTTCAAGAGTGACACAAGCCATCGGATTTCTCAATCTTTTCCCCACCTTTCCGATGGTTGCCGTGTCTGTGTAGAAAGAAGTAGACATGGGAGACTTTTCATTTTGTTCTGCACTAAGAAAAATTCCTCTGCCTTGGGATCCTGTTGATCTGTGACCTTACCCCCAACCCTGTGCTCTCTGAAACATGTGCTGTGTCCACTCAGGGTTAAATGGATTAAGGGCGGTGCAAGATGTGCTTTGTTAAACAGATGCTTGAAGGCAGCATGCTCGTTAAGAGTCATCACCAATCCCTAATCTCAAGTAATCAGGGACACAAACACTGCGGAAGGCCGCAGGGTCCTCTGCCTAGGAAAACCAGAGACCTTTGTTCACTTGTTTATCTGCTGACCTTCCCTCCACTATTGTCCCATGACCCTGCCAAATCCCCCTCTGTGAGAAACACCCAAGAATTATCAATAAAAAAATAAATTAAAAAAAAAAAAAAAAAAAAAAAAAAAAGAGTGACACAAGCCAACACTCAGCATAATCTCAAATAGCTGGAGCTGTCTTGTGATTGCTGAACTCCTAAATCTCACCCAGTTAACAGAGGTTCTTGTGCCCTATTAAAGAGCTTAGTATCCATGGTAGTAAAGGGATTCGTAAGCATTTTAGGATTCATGTTATTACTTTCAGACTAATTATGCATCTTAAAAATGTATTCTTCAAATCCCAGAGGGGATTTGATTGGGGATTTCTGACAATTAATTCCAACCACCACAGAGTAGTCCCGTTTTCCTTATCCCTGCTTACATCATTGCACACTTGGCCTCACCATAGTTTCAGATGTCCCAGAGTCATTGCAGACTCTCCCGGAGTCTTGGCACTGTTCAGCTAATTAGTAGCTAAATCCACTTGATTCAACTTCCTCAAAGGTTTTTGAGTCCACACATTCCATTCCTGTCCCCTCGGTTTATGCCTTATTCCTCTATGTTCCCTAACTGATCTCCCTAATTTCAGCCTTGACATTCATCAAATTATTTCATTTCTGTGTTGCCAAATTGTCTTCCCAGAGTAATTTCTGTTCTCATCTCTTGCCTGCTAAAAAACATCAAGGTTCCACAAGGCCCAGTAAATGCCACCATCTGAAGGTCAGCCCTTTAAAATGTGATTCAAATGACTTCATGTTTTGTGTTATACTCAGCTAATTCTCTCTCTATAGCATAAGTGGTCAAGGGCATGGGCTCTGAGGTCTTTGGGTTCAAATACTTGCTCGGACACATAATAGGAAAATTACCAATGGCAAAAGGGATAATAATACAATCCAGTTAATGGGTCCCTGTGCTCATATACATTAAAGCCCTTAGTGGTCTATGTTGGCATTATTATTATTATGTATCTCAATAAACCTATTTCTCATCTCACTGCGTTGGTCATGTTCTTTCTTCTGGAACCCAACTCTGCTCGTGAGACCCTACTTGACATTTCCTCCCTTAACTCCTTGTGTGGATTTGGTATTCCCATGTCTCAGGTCACAGTTGAGGTTCTTGTTCTCCTTCTTATTCTCCTGGTGCATTCTGGGGATCTTTGCCATCAGTCCTCATGGTTCTCCATATGGAATCCCCACACTTGGCCTCTCTTTTGATTTTATGGACCTTTTTGAACATCAGCTTCTGCAGCACTAGTTCACATGTGGTTTTATACTCAGATTCTGCTGTTCACCCTGGCCCAGAAGTAGTGCCAGACTTGTCATCCATCCTTTCCAAAAGGGAAAGTCTGGATGAATTAACTGGATGAACTCGGAACTCACGTGTCAAATGACATTTATTCCATAAGGCTTATTTTGATTCTTTTCAAAAAACTTTACTATTTTTTATTGTAGTATAATATACATTATGTTAAATTTCTTATTTAACCATTTTTAAGTATACTCTTCAGTGGTATTAAGTACATTGTTGTGTGACCATTATCAGTATCATTTCCAGAACTTTTTCATCATCCCAAACTGAATATCTGTAACTGTCAAACAATAACTCCCCATTTCCCTCTATACACATCCCTTGGCAACCAACATTCCACTCTTTGTCTCTATGAATTTGATTACTTTTGGTACCTCATATAAGGAGAGCCATTCAGTATTTGACCTTTTTGGACAGGTTTGTTTTACTTAGCATAATGTCTTCAAGATGCATTCATGCTGTAGCATGTGTTCGAATTTTCTTCCTTTTTAAGGCTGAACAATATTCCATTGTGTATATATACCATATTTTGTTCATGTATTCATCCATCAAAGGACTCTTGGATTGACTTCACCTTTGGCTATTATGAATACTGCTGCTATGAACATGAGTGTATCAATATCTCTTGAAGTCCCTGCTTTCAATTATTTCGAGTATATACCTACAAGTGAAATTGCTGGATCATAAAGTAGTTTTATTTTTAATTTTTTGAGGAACTGACATACTATTCCACAGTGGCTGCACCATTTTACATCCTTACCAGCAGTGCACAAGGATGTCATTTCTCCACATTCTCACCAAAACTTGTTTTTTGTTTTGTTGTTTTGTCTGTTTTGCTTTGTTTTTCATATTAGCCATCCTCATGACTGTGAGGGACTATGTTTTCATGCTTTTGATTTGCCTTGCCCTAGTGATTGTTGATGTTGAATTTCTTTTCATGTGCTTATTGGCCATTTGGATATTTTCTTTGGAGAAATGTCTATTCAAGTCATTTGCTCTTTTTTTAAATCAAGTTGTTTTTTAATTGTCAAGTTGTAGGAACTCTATATATTTTGGACCTTAACTGCTTATCAGATGTGTAATTTTCAAATGTTTTCTCCCATTCCATGGGTTGCCTTTTCACTCTATTGATAACATTCTTTAATGCATGAAAGTTTTTAATTTTGATGTAGTTCAATTTATGTTTCTTGTTGCTGTTGCTTATGGCTTTGATGTCATTTCCAAAAGATCATTGCCAGATCCAATGTCATGAAGCTTTTCCCCTGTATTTCTTCTAATATTTTTAGCATTTTAAATTTACATTTAAGTATTTGATCCACTTTCAGTTAATTGTTTTATAGTGTAAGATAAGGGTCTAACTTAATTTTTTTGCATGTGAATATCCAATTTTTCCAATATAATTTTTTGAAAAGACTGTTATTTTCTCATTTAATGGTTTTGGTATCTTTGTAGAAAAGCATTTAACCATATATGTAAAAGTTTACTTCTTGGCTTTCTATTCTATTCACCCATGAAGCCATCTGTTCCTGGGCTTTTCTTTCTCAGGAGCTCCTTCATTACTGATGCAATGTCTTGGATAATTATATGTCCATTCAGATTTTCTATGTCTTTATGATTCAGTCTTAGTAGGTTGTATGTTTTTAGGAATTTGGCCATTTCCCCTAGATTATCCAATTTGTTGGTTATATTGTTTATAATACTGTCTTATAATTATTTGTATTTCAATAAAATTGGTGTTAGTATTTTTCCCTCTTTCATTTCTGAATTTAGTTGAGTCTTTTCTCTCAATCATAGTTAATCTAGCTAAAGGTTGGTCAATTTTATTTAAAATTTCAATGAACCAACTCATTGTTTCATTTATATATATTTTTTCTATTCTTTTTCTGTTCTCTATTTTGTGTCTATCTGCTCCAATCTTTGTTATTTCTTTCTGCTAGCTTTTTCTTGCTGTTTTTCGAGGTTTTTAAAGTATAAAGCTAGGCTGTGGATTTAAGATCTTGGTTGATAAGTTTTTTTTCTTCCTTTTTTTTTTCTTTCGGCACATTAAATACACCATCCCGCTGCCCTCTGGCCTGCAGTGTTTCTCAAGAGAAATATGCTGATAATCTTAGAAGGAATTATCATACCTGGCTTTTCTCTTGCTGCTTTCAAGATGCTTTCTTTGTCTTTGAATTCAATACTTTTATTATAATTTGTCTTAATATAGGTACACTCTCTCTGAATTTATCCTATTTGGAGTTCACTGAGCTTCTTGTATTTGTATATTCATTTCTTTCCTAAATTTAGTATGTTTTCAGTCATTATTTCTTTAAATAAGATATCTTCCTCTTTCTCTCCTGCTTCTCTTTCTTGGACTCCTGTAGTACATACATTGGTCCCCTTGGTAATGGCCCACACATCCCTGAGGCTCCATTCACTTTTCTTCATTCATTTTTCCTTTTTCTTTTTCAGATTCAATAATGTCAAATGACTTGTCTTCAAGTTCTATGATTAGTTCTTCTGTTTCTTCAAATCTGCTGTTGAACCCTTCTAGTGAAATTTTCAGTTGTTATTGTATGTTTTAGCTCCATAATTTGTTTACTTCTTTTTAAAATATATTATCTCTTTGTTGATATTCTCATTTTGTTCATATATAATATTCCTGATTTATTTTAGTCATCCATTCATGTTTTTCTTTAGCTCCTTGAGAAAATTTAAGTCAGCTATTTAAAAGTCTTTATCTAGTAAGCTCAGTGCCTATATTTCTTCAGAGACTATTTCTGGGGATTTTGTTTTTTCCTTTGAATGGACCATGCATTCATATTTCTTTGTATATCTCTGATCTCTCATAGAAAATAGAGTACTTGCAAAAAACAGACACAGACACCTCTCCAGTCTCTGCACATAGTCCATGCAGAAGAAGGCATTCACTCATCGGTATGACATAAAGCCTTAAAGTCCTCTCTTAAGGCTTGAGGGACTGTTCTGAACATGTATATTCCTGGTCCTGTGAATGCATCATTTTTTCCCCCAATTCTTCATATACATGATAGTTTTTAAATGTCTTATTTTATCTAAGAGTCACACCCCTACTTCTCCTCTGGGCCTTAGCTGTTCAATTGTATTCCTCAGCAGGCAATCTCTTGTCTCAGGGGTCTTCACGTTTGTAGCTCCTTGCAGTTTTCATGAGGCATCACCACTGCTTCCCATGGCTTCCTTCAGACTGCGGTCAAATCTAGTTTTGCTCTTTTATACACTGAGTTAGTGACACCTCAAGCAGCCTGAAGACAAGTTAGGATGTTGCAAACTCAGTTCTCTGCAATCTTCAGTTCACCGAAGGGAGCTGAGGACTGGGCCACCAACTCCCTCATACTGTGCTGAACGACACTGGGAAGGCAAAGGGGCAATGGCAAGTGAAAATGCCACAAAGCTCCCCATCATTTTGAATGTGGCTTTTCCATGATTGGGTGTTTATTTGGTTGCTGTATACCTTTGCCAATTTCCGAGTCCCTACAAAGTTATTTTAGTCCGTTTCTAGTTGCTGGTTTTGTTTGTTTGTTGGTTTGTTTGTTTGTTTTCATGTTGCCATGGGGGAAATCTTGCTGACACCAGTCTGTTGACTCTTTTAAACTGAAAAACAATTTTTGTCACCCCTAATACATTTACTATACCTCTCCATGACGCTGGCTGCATTTGGTCTATAATCCATTTATTTCTTCCTTACTTTATAACTCTAGTCACCCTCTAAATTTCTAAAGGGCAAAGAGCAGTTCCTTTCTTCACCCACTAAAACACACAGCTCAGTGCGTGGTTCTGAATAGGCACTCCATTTTAGCTTGATAGAGTGAACACTGCAGAAAAGCAAGCTGGTGCGCACAGACATCACACTGTCTAGCACCATGACTGTACAATCACAGGATTGCTTTAGAAAGTGTGTCAACAACTGGGTGTGTTCACAGAAAGCCCACACTAATTTTCCTGAAGTTGGTATATTGTTATGTTAGCAGGCTGTTTTTAGAAACTGCAGCAGGCACTGTGCATCAGCTCAGAAGGAAAATGAGCACCACTTTCCTACAATGTCTGCACCACACCCCTTCCCTTAGTGAAGAGTGGGTATTTACCCACAGAAAAGGCAGCATTGTGCCTATTGTTGGCTTGGCTTATTCAAGAAATTCTAGAAGCAGCCCTGGTGTTTTCAAGAATAAGAAAAATCAAAACAAAATAATAAAACAACAAAGTCACTTAGTAGATGAGTCTCTTAAAGTGGAGTTTAAAGTAAAAGACTGTAGGACACTAATTAATTCCTGTTATCTGAGATAATGGAAGAGAAGAAAGAAAAGGGGAAAACATGCTCTCATTACCACACATGGGAGTCCTTCTGAAGAAAGACTTTAAATGTCTCCCCTGAGGTGTCTGTTGTCCTCCTAAATGAATTAGTCAAGTAGAAATGCACATTATTTGGACAGGGATACCCGAAGGGGAATTGCCATAAAACGGCGATGCTTGATAACCCATTTGAAAATATTGTAATAAGTAGCCTCTGTCATAAAAAATATTTTAAGGTAGAAGAGCTATTGGAAATCAGCACAAATTCTCTTAATCTCAATCTCTCTTTTCAAAAACACCAATCAAAGGACTCCGAACTGTCACTTATATACCTGTGAAGCTGTTTTTGCAGAAAGTGCATTTCTCATCATTGAACTAGTGTATTTTAAGGGGCTTCCTTGCTGTATCTCCATCTCGCTATGTCTGCTTCTACATGGAATAGGCACACATCCATACAAAACCTATTTCGAATAAAATGTGTTCAATGCCCCAGGCTCTGGGACCCAAATGTCTGTTTAATTTTTCAAAGACTGACCAATCTTTTTATAGGTGGTAAAAGATATTAAGAATTTGACCATGGTTAATTTGAAGATTAAAGGATTATGGTTACATAGGAGCAAGAGACAGGATTTGTTCTAGTATTTTTTTTTTTCAATTTCAAGTATGATTTATCTCCACCATCCACTCATATTAAGTAATTTATCCTACTTGGCTCATACACAGTCCCTCACAGTAGATGCTTGGTTATTTGCTGAATGAATCAATTATAATTTGGCTCCAAACTTTAAGAAATATACAAACCTTGATTTTTTTTTTTTTCGAGATGGAGTCTTGCTCTTGTAGCCCAGGCTGGAGTGCAATGGCACCATCTCAGCTCACTGCAACCTCTGCCTCCTGGGTTCAAGTGATTCTCCTGCCTCAGCCTCAGGAGTAGCTGGGATTATAGGTGCCTGCCACATTTTTGTATTTTTAGTAGAGACGGGGTTTCACCATGTTGGCCAGGCAGGTCTTGAACTTGTGATCTGCCTGCCTCGGGCTCCCAAAGTGCTGGGATTACAGGCATGAGCCACCGTGCCCAGTCGCAAACCTTGATTACGAATAGAATTCTTTCAGTTTTAATTTTCCCTGAAGTTATGTTACAATTTTTCTTTGAGAAAAAGTAAGCCTATAGGTTAAAATAAAAAAGCTTTATGTAATATAGTTTGCAGAGAAGATGTCATTTAAACTGGGCCAGAGGAGGAACATTAAGAAATGCCTTCAGAATGTCCCATGATCTCTCAATAGTTCAGGTGGGTTGACAGCCAGCAGGCAACCAGGTAACAGAGAGTGAGACAGCCAAGTTTAAAGAGATCCCCAGAGAGCCTCCAACAGGCCTGCACACTGGGAGAATGGGGTGGAGCCGTGGGAAGTTCGGACCGTTTGTAGGGGAGAGGCGCCTGGCCTCTCGAGTTCCAGGGTGGTCAAATGGGTTTCAATCTGTGAGGTAGGAAGTCTACTTGCAGGACTCTTGCTTTGCTGAGAGTCACTATTTCCCTTTTTCCCCTTTTCATCCAATAAAGCCTGCCCTTCTCACCCTTCGAAGTGTCTGTGTGCCTAATCTTTCATGGTCATGTGACAAGGATCCCGTTTTTAGCTGAACTAAGGAAAAAGTCCAGCAACAAGAGGACCACAGAGGAGCCTGGAGTCTCTGTCAGCTCTTGCACAGAGAGGTGCAGGGACCATCAAAAAAGAAAGACAGCCGCAGAACCAGGCCCCTGGGAGAACCAGGGAATTGTGTGGACAGCAGACTGGGGAATGGGGCAGGTTAGCTGTATAAACAGAGGTCCCTGATAAGGCTGAGTAGGGCAGGGGAGCTTGAGGAGGCAGGGTTGGAAGCTCTCACTTCAACTAAGGACTGTTTCTGGGAAATGGAGCTGAGACTTGTTTCTGGAAACAACAGTGGGCAAAAGGATTGCTGAGCTGAACCCAGGCAGGACAGCAACCAGAGCTGGAGCTAACAGCAAATGTGACCATTGCCAGAGGACACTGAGGTTTGTCACTGAGACACAGCATTGCTGTTTAACCTGGCTGAGTTCTGGGCACTGCTGGAACCTGCCTCCAGCTTATCAGCTTTCTTTGCAAAGTGCCATTAGGCAGTCATGGGCCTCTGACGAACTCTATTGTGAGGGTGCAGAATCTTTCCAGTCTTAACAAAGTACTATTGAACTCTCCATGATTTCTGTCCCTGTAGCTAACACTGTTAAATAATTATCGTTCTCTTTTATTGAGTACTTATAATGTGTTTTACACATTCCGTCTCATATTATCCTTATAATACATTCTCAAGAGAGGAGAAAATTGAAGCCTAGAGGGTTTCAGCCACTTGTGTGAAGTTACCCACAGCATGAGTAGTGAGGACAGATCTTTCATCTACCTCTATCTGGCTTCAAGGCCTCAGCGATTTCTACCAAGTTTCTTGACTCTCACTGAAAGATATCTTTACTGCAAATATTAATGATCAATTAATCCCAATAAATAGAGATCTGTTTAGACGGGAGCTCAGAAACCCAAAGCCCTTCTTTTACAGTGTGCCTTGACATGGCATTGGATTTGAGCTCTGCATCTCAGAAACAGGTTATAAAGAGGCCAGAGGGAGGGCTCCCACCTGACAGCAGCACACACAGAGGCCCCCAGCACTTCCCTCTTCTACAGTCTGGAAAAGTAGAAACACGGCAAGTTTTTTGTACAATTGACTAGGTGAGATGGGATGAAAGCGATTAGCTTGCCACTACATTGCGTTTCTTAGCATGCACATTCAAAGATGCAAGGGAAAAAATGATCATCTCTGGCTCTATTTTGACCTTAACTAAGGAAGTAATTAGAAGGAAATAATAATGATAATATCCATTCATTTTCACCATCTAATCTGAAATGCAACATCAAGTAAACATCTTGTACTAATGTGCATTCAGACACACAGAGCTCATGTCTGCATGCCCATGCAGGCCAGGCTTCCTATGTACTCAGAAATCTTCGGCAAGGCCAGGTACCCAGAGGAATAGCTTGGCTCCTAGGTACTCAGAGGCTGGCTCTCCACCTTCACAATTGGTCCCTGATATGCCATGCATACCCACTCCTATTCTAGCCACCATGGCCTAGCCATGATCACTCCCTGAACTGTACGTCTTTGTCAGTTTTCTCATGCACATTCCTCATCAGAACCTTTCCCCCAACACCACGCCACCATGACCACCACCACCACCACCACTAAGAGGCATCTCTGTCTCCTGAAGTGCCACTCACCTTTAAGTTCTGTTTGATATGCCTCTTGCTCCATGGGTCCTTCTTTAACTTTCTACAGATCTGGGTTTCTTTACAGAGTGCACCAGGAGCTCTTTGTGTCTGACCATTACTATCTCCCTTGTACTTGTCTCAACGCTTTGTAAACACAAGCATTCAATAAGTGTTCATAGCAGGAAAAGAAGCAGGGGGAAATTGAAGGAAAGCGGAAGGAAGGGAGGGAAAAGGGGAGGGAAAGAATGAAGGAGGCAATAAACATGTGTCTTTTCACTTAAGAACCATTTTCGAAAAGCAAAATGAAAAGAACTCAACAGGCCAAGTGAATAACTGTAGTTCCCTTACAAACTTATTTAGGAATGCATGTGATGAGCTTCAGGGGAGCTCATTCATTTCACAAAGAAGCTAAAACCTAGCTGACTGGGAGCTTATCTTTCTGAGCTATAAGAGTTAAATAATGATATTTATGCTCAATGATAGCAAGAAATCAGGAATGTTGTTTGTTTTTTTCTCCCATTGTCACTGATTTAAATACAAAGATTCTTTTTCTTTCTCCCTTCCTCCCTCCTTCCCTTTCTTTCTCTCTCTCTCTCCTCTCAATATCACTCCCCATCCTTCCCCATGACCACCAAAATAACAGGAATCAAATCAGAATATCTACTTCTTTAAATCACACTGAAGATTCCATTAGATGCAATAGATCTAAAGTGCCTGCTGATATTCAGTGAGGCATTTCCCTGTAGCTGCAGCGCCAGCAGACTATTCTATTCCTAGATGTAATTCAACACCCTCCTCACATAATTCTCTGCCTAGGAGAAATCTGTCAGGTCTTTTTGTGTCACCTGTCTCCTGGACAATGCCAATGTATCCATAGAAATCTCTCCTCAATGCTGAGATTTAAAAAGGTGGTGGTCAGCAGGGAGATGGTGGTGAGGACAGTGATAACTGTTTTTTAAAATAAAACAGATCTGGGTCACATTGAAGGTCTCTCATATGTAATCTCATCCACCTCAATGATTCAGCCTCTCAGCAGTGCCCCCTCTGAAGGTCTGACACTTCCTCTAAAGGTCTGACACTTCCATATAAATTCAAGAGAATTATTTTATATCACAGTTCATAGTTATTAAACCTCCTGCCATAGGCGCCCACCCTTCTCATGCAAGGGAGGAGCATCACTGCTAACCTCCTCCTTCTTGGGGAATCCAGCGTGATGTGGTGGAGGGAGGTTGAGCTTTGGGATCACATGACCTGGGTTTAAATCCTAGTTCTAACACTAACCACCTATCCTAGTGCAGAATCACTTAAACATTATTTAACTCAGTTTCTTATCTATATAAAGAGGACACTAATACTTCATAGGTTATTCTGAAGTCTCAAATTGATTGCCTTAGTGATGTGCTAGAAACAGGGGCATATATAGCAGGTGCTGGGCAAATGTTTTCCATTTCCCTTAGGAGATATGTGATCATATAACAGTTATGCAAAATATATGACCTTCAAAATACACACACACACACATACACACACACACAACATGAATATGGGCACAAAGGCCATATTACTCGTTTCCTTAAAATCAAGTTAAATTTAATATGATATATCCTTCTCTACCAAGGAGGAAAGAAAATCAAATATACTTATGACTGAGCTTAAATCCCTTCCTCTACCATGCCCCTAAGTCTCAGAGTGGTAGAAGGCCCAGAGCTGTTTGGTAGCATGAATGCCTTAGCTCATCAGTCACAGGACATCCATCGTCACAAGTCACCAGTGAGTGCCCTACTATTCCTGTCCTCTTGTTCCCTTCCTGTCCAGCAGCTTAGGGTCCTGGGGCCCCTTGGTGTGGATTCACAGTCTTCTCTCTCTGAAAGCAGGCCACCTTCCTGGTCTGCTACCAGGGAATAGAGCACAAGTTCCCTCTTCAGCAGGATTCAAAATCCTTCCTTCCTTTTCCAGGACTGCAAATTGTCTTCAGATCAAAGGAAAACATATCCCATTTTTACTTGTTTCCCTGAGAGGGCCTCTGCCTCTTAAATATTCACCATGAGTTTGGCAGCGTGGAAGAGATAAAATGAGGAACAGAAGTGTATTGCAGGCCAGGAAGCCCAGAGCCTGCTACCTTTTTGGATAAGGGCAAGAGGAAATGCATAAATGTAAATTAATACTTCACAATTTTCCCTGCCACATCATAATAGCAAATGTTTGAGTAGCTAATATTTAGTGAGTACAATAATGGGCTCACAGAACACCAGCAGTTCTATAAAGGATAAACTTGTCAATAAAGTGCAGTGCTTGACTGTTTACAGGGCTCCTTCACATGCTGTCTCATTTGATTCTATCTGCTGGGGAACAGGTAAAAATTCAATAACGGTCCCCTATTTAAATAAGTTGATAGAATCTCTGCAAAGTCAGTCTGTGGAATTACCAGCTTGCACATCCTTGAAGCTCTTTGTGGATCCCTGTCCACCCGCCTTCGCCTGCTTAAAAATGTATGGCCAATATGTTTTGTTTTTTTTTTTTTTTGGTCAGGGTACTAGGGCCCCAAATCCTGAAACCCAGCATAATACCCCTTCCCCTTCCCCTTGCCTGTCCTCACCTCCTCATCGTGTGTGCCCCTCCTTCCAGGCTATGCCATGTTCCTCCTGTGACCATCGTTTATTTAACCTGAGGATCTAGACTCTGCTTCCATTCACCCTATTCTCAGCAGCACATGTCTGTCTAATTTCTTGGGTACTGGCCTGACCGTTAATGCTGTGTCCTTATTTCCAGAGTCGCTGACCCCACCTGCCTGCTGGATCTCCATTCATCACCTTTCTGCATGGGTTCTTCAGGCAGCATCCTGCTTATTTACCAGTCTTCTTCCAGCTTCCTGGCCTGAACTGCCTACCTGTTTACCTTTAGAAGCAGGTCGATTTCAAGGCCTATACTTTCCTAGTCCAATAATTCTGTTTCATTAAGCCCCTATCTCCCTAGTGGCAATCAGAGGAGTCAGCTTCCACTAGAAGATGGATGTTGAAGTTGATTTCCACCCAACATAATCCATCAAAAAGCCAAAGAAGGGGGTTAGGGCATTGCTTCAGAGATCCCCTCTCCCTACTCAAGTGCCTCTTGTGATGCATATTCTTTTTGGGGAAGAAAGCCTGGTGGAATCTGCTTCTAGAGTTCATGACTCTGGCAGGCAGTGGTTGAGCTGGGGAGGGTGTTATTCCAAGGGCAGTCAGAGTTGCTGTACCAAGTAGAAGAGACAGAGGTTGGAGGAGAAGAGGAGGAATAGTCAGAGGATGATAGGATTTGAATTATTCACTGAAGAGAAAAGCCAGACACAGGTGCCTGGAAGTGACGGCAAGAATAGAGGAGGTCAAGGGAGTGCACCACTGGGCAGAGCCAATGAAGTCAGGAGGGTTGGGACCTCAATCTAAACAGGCATGAGTGCCTGGGCAATCACAAGGCACATCCTGATAGAGACATCAGGCCTCTAAAGAAGCTGGATAGATCCAGAAGCAACGACTGTTCCCTGAGTATTTACTGTGTCCCTGGCTAGAGTCATAAACTCTAACCTCATCCAAACTTCATGACTCTTACATGACATAGAAATGAATAAGCCCATTTTAAAGGTATTGAAAAAGGCCCAGCAGAATTAACATGATGGCTCTACCCCACAACCAGTGGGAAGAGCAGAGGTCACGTGAGATACAAGGTCCGTGTGACATCATGCTTTCCCTACTACTTTGTTCTGTTCTGCTGCCCCCCACCCCCTAAGAGCCCAGGTTCTGGGCCCTGGCCTCAAGCTCCCCTTTGATCCTGATTCATTTCCCAGAACCATTTAACTGCTGCTGCAGATAGAAGAACTACTCATAAACAGCCCATCCAGGACTGCCAAGTGCTTTTCAGCTCTAGTAACCCAGGTACACAGCCGGACAGACTTCAGCCCTTATTAGTGGGACAGAAACAGTGGACTCCCAGCTGAGAAGCCTGTAAAGTTAAACTGTTAGTCAACGAAGACAAAGGGATCCTGGTGCTAATCTATTCCAGGGAGCTAGCTCTTGGGGAAGCAAGTCCTCTCTTCTCCTGAGAAATTGGCCCACTTGGAATTCTTCGTTTAGACAACTTTTTAAGTCATACGGTGACTGACTTGAGACAACCCAGAGAGAACACTCTTAATTTGACACCAGATTAGTCAACCAGAAATCTCTTGCAAATGTGCTCCATCTCTGCTTCAGCCAGAGCCTAATTAAGATCCTAGCATGGCTGTTTCTTTGTGCCAGCACCGTTATTTAGTTAATAGCCCCATTATCGTTAGCCTTGCAGCCACTCTGGTGTGCCACTGTAGGGATGCTCTTCAGTAAGATAGAATTTAGAAACAAACAAACAAAAACCAGTTCCTGGGAGAATCAGCTACAAACCACACCAAGTCTACTCCCTACTACCACCCCCAGGACCCATCAATGCAGGCAGCCCTCGGCAGCTATGACCATAAGTCAGAAGCCTGCATTCCTGGCCTAGCTCCTCTTGCCCAGGAGATTTGGGAAGCAGGGCATGCACTTGCCTGCTGGAAGCTGGGGGAAACACTCCTGCTTCTTAAGTGGCTGCTGTTGAGAGAGCCATATACTCTGTAAACTCCAAAGCACTGTACACAAGTTAGCATTATTAGTGTATTCTGAGCCCCCTTTTTCTGATAATTAATTGATTGATGCAGCTCCTATTTGCCTGATTTCCTCTCTCATTGTGCATTGAATCTAATCTCTTCCTTTGCCAAGATTTCCCATTTTAGCCTAGAAGCACAGCCTCCAGAGCACTCATTAGGGGCTGAGAAGCTGCTGACCAGGGTGCTGCTGGCTGCGGTCTTGGCCAAACCCAGGCCTCAAGCTGACCACCCCAGGGCCGGGCACTTTGACTCTCAGACTGTCTCCACGGTGGCAAGGAAGGCTGGCTCTTTTAGTTCCCCAAGATATAAATATCCAAGATATCATGTGCATGTGATTTCCTTCTTCTTTAATTGGTAGTTTGGATTCCGCTGCACAATCAGCCTTCCCCCCATCGAGTCAATTAGCTTCAGCAAATGCACTCGGTGCTTCTCAGTCTCTATAATTATCACTTAGTGTCAGAAATTGAAAAGTGGAAAGAAGCAAACCCTAACCATATGACTTGGAGCTGAATGTCAGCTTCTAAGAAAAAATTTTCCTGAGCCTAAGTCTTCATATTTTTGCTACTGCTTGGATCTTATTTAGGAGAGGCCACATGAATCTACATGTCTACAGTCTGATTATTTAAAAGCTAGCTGACCTTCAATAGCAGTGGCACCAACTGAGCCTCAATTCTCTGATCTGTAAAATGGAACTAATTTCATTTCCCCACCTGATTCATAAGACTTGGGTAAGTGAGTGTAAAGACTGAAAGCTAAGTCATACAATTATATTGACTACTAAAATCTAAATCACACAACAGGCATAAAAGAGCATCATTACTTTATTCAATAAAGTGCTTTTTAATTGGCAGGGCAAGAAGTTAATTTGTAACAACACATTATCCAGCAACTGCCACTCTCAGTGTCACCTCTCAGAGCCATGCTTTTCAAGATTCATGCAGTGATATGACAGCACCTGCTTTCGATTACAATCTAACTTGGCTTGTTAAGTAAATACACTACAAGAGAGTGCAGATAAACAAGCTTGTACAAATGCATAGGTTCTGGATTCAGGCAGTTGAGGGGTTGGTTCTCTGCCATGTGGTAGCTGCATGACTTTGCCCAGTTATCCAGCCTTGACATGTTCTGAAGAGGTAGTGAGAGCATATCAGTAAATTATCAAGCACAGAGGAGGCCATCAGTTAATGTTAGTTAGCTCCTTTCCTTCCTAAATCCTCACAACAGTACTAAATGGTCAGTATGTTAATTAACAATACTAACATGATCAAGGAAAATAGGCCATATTCATGTCATGGCTTCTAAATACAACGCCCCTTCCACTTGCTGCTGTATAGCTATTTAAAAAGCCAACTGAGAATATGGTTTCCCAACATCAGTGGTGCCCTCAGGCATATATTGAGAGAAGACAGAGAGAGAGAGAGCATTTTGCTCACTGCTCTTGACTAATGCTTCAGCCACAATTAAATGTTGCTACTGTACTTAGGACAAAGGACAAATGATCAAAGAAGACTAATTATAATGAATTATGATCCTTCTCCAAGTCTGTGCTTGATATTTCATCTGCCATGTGAAAGATGACAAAGCTGAGGAAATAACCGCCTGCCATCTGTCTAAAAATTCAAAGCAGGAGCAAAAAGTGCTCAGAGGGCAAGCCAGTTAATGATTAATTAAAATATTAAAAGCGCTGCTCACTAGTCAGTTTCTGGATACATCCAATCCTAAGGAGGCCAGGAACGCCTGGGGAGCTGGCATCCATCACTTCCAATATGACTTTCTAGTAGGTGGACAGATAATGAAGAGATTAAAGAATGTAGTCATCTTGGGTTCAAGACCAGCCCTATATCTCCCTGGCTCTTTTCTATTTTGGTCATTCAAGCAACCTCTGTGAGCCACAGTTTTCACATCAACAAAATAGGAAAAAATAAAAAAGACAGTTATCAGCCTACCCACTTTGCAAGATCAATTTTAGACTTGTATAGTCATATCTCCCACTCAATAAACTCAAATCAGATTTACTATCTTTCTCCCCAAAACTATTCTTACAGCACCTGTCTCTGAGAATGGCACTGCTATCCACATAGCCCCCTAATCACCCCCAATCTTGGGATCAAGGCAGACTTCCCCTCTCAGTCCCCGCATCCTCCAGTGAGATGAATATTCCTAGCTTCCTGTCCAGCCCATCTCCTCTTCTCAGCTCCCATCTCCTCACTGACCCTTGGGCCTCCAGCTTCAATCTCTTCACCCCATCACTGATGCTCCTGCCCCAAACAAAAATTACATCCCAAAATTACTAATCTCAACAGGACATTTCCCTGCCTGAAGTCCTTTATTGGCTCCATGACATCTATTGCAGAATTTTTAAATTTCTTATGAGTAATATAAATATATATATATATGTGTATATGTATATTTGGATCATTAATATACAAACAAATAAAGGTAGAGCAGCAGAGACAGAAGAAGAAAATGGGACCCTACCTACTCATCCCCCAAGGCTGCCCCTGACTTACCCTGAGAACTCTGGAATATATTTGAACTTCTATGATTCAAAGTCTCACACTTTTCTTTTCTTCATTTCCAAATCAACCTCTAAGGACAGGTCACATTTTTAATATGAAGATAGATAGATAGATAGATTTATTTATTTATTTATTTATTTTGAGATGGAGTTTCACTCTTGTTGTCCAGGCTGGAATGCAATGGTGTGATCTCAGCTCACCGCCACCTCCGCCTCCCGGGTTCAAACGATTGTCCTGCCTCAGCCTCCCGAGTAGCTGGGATTACAGGCATGTGCCACCATGTCTGGCTAATTTTTGTATTTTTAGTAGAGACGGGGTTTCTCCATGTTGGCCAGGCTGGTCTCGAACTCCAGACCTCAGGTGATCCACCCACCTCAGCCTCCCAAAATGCTGGGATTACAGGTGTGAGCCACTGCACCCGGCCTAATATGAAAATATTTTTATATGCTCAATTGTTTTACTGCAGCAGTCTCTTACATTTGAATACTGCTTCAGAGTCTATAAAGCTTATGCCATATGCCTCATTCAGTTATTCAATGCACCTGTATCAAGTATCAAGCACTGTGCCAGGTGTTGCCAAAATAGAGTAAAAGTTCTCCTTGTTTTCTCACGTAACTAACAGTTTAATGGGGTGCGTAGATAAATACCAGCTTGAATATGTGAAATAAGCAAACAGTCAAAAACGGTCAAATTTAAGCAATTTCAAATGGATAAATCTACATGAGCTGTATTTTATAGGATTCAATCCAAAATCAGTTAGTGGGTGTGACATGTGCAATGATAAGAATGTGGAAACAGAAAAAGCAAATAGGAGGGATGTGCAAGTCTGAGCCAGAAACAGAAAAAATGTCCCAGAGGAGAGGAAGCTTGACACACAGTGGAAGTGGTGGTAATGGTGGGTGCTGGTGGTGATGGTGTTAATGGTGGTGGTGGTGATGGTGGTGGTGGTGGTGATGGTGTTGATGATAGCAATGATGATAGTTGTCACAATGGTATTTGTGATGGTGTCGATGGTGGTGGTGGCAGTGGTGGTGGTGGTGGTGGTGTTGATGGTGGTAATGGTGTTAATGGTGGTGATTGTGGTGGTGATGGTGTTGATGATAGTGGTGGTGATACTGATCATAATGGTATTTGTGAGGGTGTTCATGGTGGTAATGGTGATGATTTTGATGGTGGTGGCAGCAGTAGTATTGTTGATGGTGGCGGTAGTGCTGATATTGTTGACGGTGGTAGCAGTCGTGGTATTGTTGATGGTGGTGGCAGTGGTGGTGTAAGCCAGCAATCCAAGAGCACATAAAGAAGTATAACTTAGAAACCTTTCAGAGTAATGTGAAAAACAGCACAGATAAATATTAGGCAATCCATATGACAAATGGAGAAGGAAATAATGCATACGTCCTGAACAGATGACTATTGCTCAAAGAGCAGGCATGTGGGAGGATAGAGGGCTCTTCTTGGGGAGGTGCTCCTCACACTGCAGCTGCTGGTGCAAGGCTCTAGCAGGGTCACACAGGGACTGCAGACCCCTGAGAACAGGCCCCCTGCAGTGTCATATCTGTGCTCCCTTGGAACTTCTTGCTCAGCCAGAGACCCTATCTGCTGATTCCCTGCACTGCCATAACCCTGCTGCACGTGTAGCTAAGAAGAGAAGCCAGAAAGCCTGCACTGTCTCCAGATTTTATGTCATTCTCATCTCAGTTTTTTCCTGCACCGAAATGAATAGAGAGTTGCATGAAAGACAGAGATCAAAACAGAGCAAATTAAGTAGCACTCTTGAGGTAAAGGGAGGAAAAGAAAGATATAATAATATTCATCATAAATTTAGTAGCTAGTTATATTCACTACTTACTATGTGGGACACTGTGCTACATGCTTTGTAGACATGATTTGTAAGTCATAACTACAACTTTTAAGTAGCTATCAGTTTCTTTATTTTACAAAGAGAGGTTAAAATTTGCCTAAGGGAAGTCAAAGCAAATAACGAAGCCAGGAAGCCAAACTCCAAAGCCTTAGCCGCACAACCCTTAAGCGCTCTACTGTGGACATGTTTCCATAACCCAATGTACCAACTCAGTCCTCAAAACATATCTTGATGTCAGTATGGCTATTATTCCTGTTTTACACATAAGAAAAATGGCAAAGGGATGGAGAAAGAGAATGTAATGGAACGGGCTTGTAAAGAAAGTGAGATTGTGTAGGCAGCAAAAAGCGGAGAAAGATGCAATCCTCACTCCAGTTAGGGAGAGGCAAGAAGCAAATTCCCCACCAGCTATCAAAATAAAGAGAATCATGACCTTGCCATTACTCAATTCCTCTAGCAGTTTCCAAACTGATTCTTTGTCTTTTGTATTCCGTATCATACTCCTGACAACCAGAGCAATGAGCAAATGAAGTAGAATTATCTTTTTTCTTGAAAAATATTCTGACTGGAACCAAGGGGGCTCAACAATTTGGGGTAACTTCTGCTGATATTTTCTGTGTTCCAGCTCCTGAAAGAAATGGTATTCCCAGGGAATCATGGCTGGCAGAAGCTGAGGTTGATATGCTTGTTATTTTTAGGTGAATATTACTTCCTTTCTCTGGGATCAAGTGGATGCTGTTGGAGGGCTCAGACGGGAGGAGCACAGACTACATTTAAAGGATGATGCAGAGATGTTGAGAAATAATTCAACACAGGACAGAGCAGCACTGTTTTTCTTTTCTCCGGCAGAAAGATGGGAGAGAAGATATGTTTCTAGACTATAAACTTCTGAATGAGGTCAGGGATTGGGTCAGCTGTGCTCACTATTGCATCCTCCTTGTCTGAAATAATATTTAACATGCAATAGTTGCTCAGTGGGTGGTTTTTGAATGAATGAATACATATACTTGCACTTGCTTACAATCCAATCCGATCAGTCAAAAAAGTCTGCTGATAACACTAACAATGGTGGTAGTAACAGCAACAATTAGAAACCAGTGCAACTCTGTAGAGAAACCTGAAGTAGGTGCAGGGCCCTCAGCCTACAGCAATGCACAGCAATGCAAGGTAAAGGCTCACAGACATGGCAGAATGGTGAGAACCAAACAGGGTGATGGAAGATGTGGCTCACGGTAGTATGCAGGTAATAGAGCATGCCAAGAACTAAACAAAGTGCTTTGATTCTACAGTGGCCCCAGTGACCTAAAGGTATGGTACAGGAGTATGGACAAGAAGGCCTATTTGGTAGCAGCCCTGCCATGGTGATGGAGCAAACTGCTCTGGCTACAGTGTGGCAAGCAGACTGTATCAATCTAAGAGAAACTGCCAGTGAATGGAGAGACTCAATGCAGGAGGCTGATGACCTTCTGTTTCCTCCAGTGGAGGCAATGCAGCTGAAAATTCTGAGCATGAATATTAGTAAGCCTTCATTTCTACCCACAAGTCACTGAGGCATGGGGAATGCTACCTCAGGTGAGCCTGTGAGTACACTATGTGAGCATGCTTTATGTGAGTATTCAACTCTTTTAACCCAACGATGATACATATTCTTTCTTCCCTTTTTCAGATTAGAAAACTGATGCTGCATGAGGTTGGGTGTAGGCTTTGGAATTTAGAAATATCACAGTAGGGACTTAAACCCAGGTCTATCTTACTCCAAGGTGTACACTATAATCACTGTTCTTTGTGTCCTTCTTGAGAGACAGAGCGAGGTCTTGGTCCCTGTTGCCTTTGGTTCCAGTTTCTCCAGCCTTTTTCTACTTCATTCTCCAGTGACATCTCTCTTCCAGAAGCCGGCCCCTTAATGACTTTTCTTTTTGTCAGTGTCTTTATGCTCTTCTGGCACACAAATAGACTGAATTCCCTATAGACAGATGTGACCAGTTCCTCAGGATGGAGTTCATCTTTGTACCCTGGCACCTCTGAAAATGTCTGGAACAGAGTGGATGCTCTGTTTGTCATTGATAATAAAGATAATGCAATAAGATTACAAAGCCAAAGAGGGAAACACTCTTCTTAGAAGAGTTTCTACATCTCTCAGTCCTCCAAGGAACTTATATACCCTGGTTCACCCATTTTCTTTGTCCAGCTAGACCATCAGCACAAGCATGGACAGCTGTCCCCTGGTTGGGTTGGGAATCATGTGATGAACTGAGGAGTCTTTGTGAAGAGCCTGTCTGGAACTGAGTCAGGGAAGATCCTGGAGAAACACAGTGGACTCTCCCAGGCTCTCAGGGCCTGAGGCCCAGTGGCAGACTGCCCTGTCTTCCAGCACACCCCACCCACCCAAACACACACACCACGGTCTGTGCCTTTCTTGTCTTCCTTTCTTTCAAACCCAAATTACATGCTCTTTTTGACGTGCATCAAGCTCTTTAAAAATGGTAACCCCACAGTGGGTGCTAGACCCTCCTTAAGATTTTCTTAGCGGAAAAATCAGCCCAGGGAGAACAGAGGGGTTGAGTTTATCACTGCCAAATTTGTCCTGAACTTTCCATTCCAGTGATCAGTGCCTTTTCCACAAGGCAGCGGTAACCTTCACTGACATTCAGGTCCCTACAGGCTGATGCTGGTCAGGGGATCTTCTGTGCTCCCAGTGTGTGCTGAATTATGATATGGAACTCAAATGAACACATTGGAGAATAAACACAGAGCACTGTTGTTTCACCGTGGAGTTTGGTTCAGCTCACCAGGTATCATGCAGCTCCTCCTATGTTCCTAGCTATGCTGGATTCAGGAGACACAGAGATTGTCTAACACAGGGGTCCCCAATCTCCAGGCCATGGACTGCTGCTGGTCCATGGCCTGTTAGGAACCAGGCCACAGAGCAGGAGGTGAGAGGTGGGTAAGCGAGCATTACCACCTGAGCTCCACCTCCTGTCAGATCAGCAACAGCATCAGATTCTCAAAGGAGCGCGAACCCTATTGTGAACTGCACATGTGAGGGATCTAGGCTATGTGTTCCTTATGAGAATCTAATACCTGATGATTTGAGGTGGAACAGTTTCATCCTGAAACCGTATTCCCCCTATTCCCCTACCACCTGTCTGTGGAAAAAAATTGTCTTCCACAAAACTGGTCCCTGGTGCCAAAAAGGTTGGGCATCATTGGTCTAACAGACAAATTGGAGGCTTAATAATAGACCAGCTTAATAGAGGAATAAGGCAAATGAACATAAAATTATTATCTAGTGTGAGTGGCATCACAGATGCATGGAAGTTTTTATTTTATTATTAGGAATGATTACGTAGCTCTAGGGTGACTTCAAAGATATCCTAATACTGTCTAGCACTTTGAAAAATGGTTTCCTAGATACCTATGATGATCGCAGGCATTCCAAGGAGAGGAAATAATACATTCCGTAGTATGGAAGCATCCTGAAAATGCAGGCTACAGAGGAGAACTGCAAAAGGATGCTGGCGTGGACCAAAACTCTAGAGAAAGGCTTCCTTCCTCAGCACTTAGACATGGCCAGACCTGGGGCAGGCCGAGTGTCAGGCCCGGTACTCAGGAGACAATGAGGCTTGCTGCAGCGTTTCTAATGGCAGCTCTATATTTCTAGGGAGTTGTTTTATTTGTTTTTTTAATGTCACAATTTTGTTTCTATGTATTAAATATTGAACTTTCTTTTACTCTAGTTAGAAAAAATCAGAGTAGAAATCCCAAAATTACAGTCATGCACCATATAATAACATTTCAGTGAAAAAGGAACTGGCATATATGATGGTGGTCCCATAAGATTACAATGGAGCTGAAAAATTTCTATTACCTAGTGATGCATTGATGATTCTGACCCTGAGTAGGCCTAGACTAGTGTGTGTGTTTTTGTCTTACTTTCTAACAAAAAGTTTTAAAAAGTAAAAGACACCTGTAATCCCAGCAATTTGGGATGCCAAGAAGGGAGGATTGCTTGAGCTTAGGAGTTCGATACCAGCCTGGGCAACACAGGGAGACCCTTTCTCTACCAAATAATAACAATAATAATAAGTTAAAAAATAAAAAAAAATTAGCCAGTTGTTGTAGCACATACTTTTAGTCCTATCTACTCAGGAGCCAGAGGAGGATCACTTAAGCCAAGGAGTTTGAGGTGGGAGTGAGCCATGATCACACCACTGCACTCTATCCTGGGCAGCAAAGTGAAGCCCTCTCTCTACCAAAAAAAAAAAAAAAAAAAAGTGACAGAAAAATATTTTAAATAGTAAAAAGCTTAAGAATAAAGATATAAAAACAGATATTTTTGGGCAGCTGTATAATGTGTTTGTGTTTTAAACTAAGTGCTATTACAAGAGGCAAAAAGTGAAACAATTTAAAAGTTTAAATGTAAAATGTGACAGTAAGCTAAGGTTAATTTATTATTGAATAGATAAAATTTAAAAAATAAGTTTAGTGTAATCTAGCCAGGTGCCGTGGCTCACGCCTGTACTCCCAGCACTTTGGGAGGCAGAAGTGGGCGGATCAAGAGGTCAGGAGATAGAGACCATCCTGGCTAACGAGGTGAAACCCCATCTCTACTAAAAATACAAAAACAAAATTAGCCGGGCATGGTGGTGGGCACCTGTAATCCCAGCTACTCGGGAGGCTGAGGCAGGAGAATGGCGTGAACCCGGGAGGCGGAGCTTGCAGTGAGCCGAGATCGCGCCACTGCACTCCAGCCTGGGCGACAGAGTGAGACTCCGTCTCAAAAAAAAAAAAAAAAAAGTTTAGTGTAATCTAAGTGCCCAGTGTTTATGAAGTCCATAGTAGTGTACAGTAAACAGGCCTTCACATTCACTCATCACTCACTCACTGACTCACCTACAGCAACTTCCAGGCCTTCAAGCTCTATGTAAGTGCCCTGTACAATGGTACCATTTTCACCTTTTGTCCTATATGTTTACTGTTCCTTTCCTATGTTTACACATGTTCAGATACAGTAATACTTACCATTGTGTCACAATTGCCTATAGTATTCAGTACAGTAACAAGATTGTGTCCTAAGAACAGCAGGCCATACAATATAGCCTAGGTTTGCAAGTAGGCTATACCATGTATGTTTGCTTAAGTACACACTATGACGTTTGCACAACACAATCATTTAATGATGCGTTACTAAGAACATATTCCATCATTAAATAATGTATGACTATATATTATCTGAAAGTAAATGGCTGCTTATTATGGGACAAACAAACAAAATCATGGCCCTGGGCTCTAGAGCTGTTTTCTTACTCGAGGGAGCCACGTGTGAGGTAAAGAGTGCTTGGAGTTCAGTTTTTGAGGGTTCAAATTCCAGTCCCTCCACTCATTAGCTGAATGACCTTGGGCAAATTACTAAATTACTTAAAGTGTCTGTGCTGTCAATTTCCTCATTATAAATGGAGATATTATTATCTACCTCACAGGAATATTGTGAAAACTCAATGAGAGTACGTTGCAAATGTTTTCCTCAGGTTAATATTTGCCTCTCAATTTAGTTTAATATGCTTTTTGATGTACAGATTTCCTTTAGCAGTTAACTTCCCAAATATACAATTTGCCTCTATAGTTGATTTCATTGTTAACTTTTTGTTTGCTTTGAATAGCTTTTTCCCTCCCTGAAATCAAAGAGATATCACCTGTGTTTTCTGCTTCTTTTGTAGTTTTACTTTAAACATTTAAATGTTTGGTCCATCTGAAATTGGGTGCTTTCCTGAGTGTTTTGAGATGAAAAGAAGAACTAACTTTTTTTATCTGAATGGTTGTGCAGTATATATGAAGTAATTGATCTTCTCCTCATTCATTGTAAATACTAGCTTAATAATACATTATATTTTACACTTCGGGCTTTTTGTTTTGTCTCCTTGATCTATTTTGTAAGTTATTTTGGCATTTTTTTATTTTTTTTAACTGTTTGAACACGAGTGTAGCATATATTCTCCATTCTTTGTTTCTAAGATATTCTTTTATATCCTGTTCTATTCTTCCTCATAACCAGTTTTAGAAAGGGGAGTACTCATAGTTCAAACTTCTTAGAAAAACAAACCCATTACAAATAGGTAAAATTGTTAATACAGATAAAGTACATAGCAAACAACTTTATGCCTTGTCTATGAAGGTTCTGGGAGAGCCATATCTCAGAGGGTGTGGGGCAGTTGTGGCTCCACTAGCACTGTGAGGAATGCTCAAGTCTAATATATAGATGACTAAAGAACAAAATACCCACTTCCATCTGGCAATTGATCTGGGCACAGATATGAAAGAGAACAATAACTGCTGTGATTTACTGAGCAATTGCCATAGGCCAGGCACAATGCCATGCCCAGAAAGGGAACAAAATATGATTATGAAAGAGAGCTTTGGATTCAGACAGTCCTGAGTTCCAGTTCCAATTTTATGACTATCTCACTGTGGAACTTTATATATCCATAGCATTTCTGTGACATGTAAAAATGACACATGAAAAGCATGTGGCTAAATCCCCACAGTGGACCTCCCCTGCAGCTAACCCTTTAGAAGCATCATCAAATTCAACTCTAATAAAAACAACATGCTTTTAACCTTCTCTCTGTTGAATAAATGAGAAACAGAAGACAAGACCGTTAAATAACTCACCGAGATCTATGCAACTGGTTAATGTACAGATAAGTTCAAACTAGGTTTTTTTTTTTTTTTAGCTCAAAACATCAGGCTTTTAACCTGTGCATGATCTTCCCTATATCTATTCTCATAGTATAGACACCAGGTGCCATTGATACCTTGCACATTGGTTTCTCTCTACATAAAGCTATTGTGGAGACAATTTTGTGTGATGCTTAGTTTAGGTATTGTCTTTGGTTGATAATTTTTACTATTGAATTAATGCAATGGTTACAGACAACAAACCCTGGAAATGGTCAAAATCGGTTTGTAGATAGGGTAATCAATCATCCTGGTTTTCCCAGACTCTTCCTTCTTATCTGTAAGATTTGACTTCATAAGCTCTGTTGGCACATCCCATAAAGACACAAAAGAAGCTCTGAAGAAAAAGTACAATTATGAAGACAAAGACAATTTACTCATAATACGGCCTAGCTCCTGAGCGCTCTTCTAATTCTCTAGGTTAAGGTAAGATAAATAAATAAATTTTACTCATATCATTTATAAAAATAATGAATCTGTGTAGCATTTTTCAGCTCACATGTTTTTTGTGTATATAATCCCATATAATAATAATAATAATCTGTAAGGTAGTTAAGTTCTCTTCATTTAAAATATAAGAAAACAGGCTCAGAAAGTCTTCTAAGATCACACAGAGTGGTACAGTTGGAAAACTGTCTACTAAGGATTCATACTCCTCTTTTAGAGTATAGAACTGTCTCTGGGGCATCCCCTGAGCCAGGGACTACATTATATAGAACCCCTTGCATCTAAGTGGGATCATGTGACTGACTGTTGGCCACAGAAACGTGGACAGAAGGCATGGGAATCCCCTTTCAAACCATCTCCATAAAATCCTCCACATTTTCTCCTTGCCATGTGCTCAATGGATGTTGGGCAAATACTCAGGGAGACTTGACAGTTATATGACAAATGTGATAAAGCCAAAGGAGGGAAGAAATCAGGTTATTGAATCAACACATGACTATATCTAATATATGTGCTTATTATAAGGGGTTTAGAACTCCAATTGTGGCAAGAAAAAAAAAAGGAAACTCCACAAGATGACAGCTGATCACAAGCACATTTTGATCCAGTTTTATAAAAATGTGCTAGTTCAGTCTCTCAGTGAATGAGTAAAAGGGTGGTTTGTATTTCTCTATCTGAGATGAAGAAAGACGATTCTCACATGGATATTATACCACAGCAAAAACAAAAAGGAATTTCAACTTGTAATGCAAACTACAAGCTATGGATAACAGAAACCACAAGGAATAAATTTAACGGAAGAAAATGAAATAAATTGTGTTCTATACATTACAAGGTAAATCTTATAGATTTTTACCTGAAAGCTCATGGAGTTCTGAAAATGAGGATGTGGTATTCACTGCACAGACACAGCTGATTCAGCAGATGTAGTGAATACATAATCCGTCATGTTCTGGATGGACAGTCTGACTTCATAGTCGTAAACAGAATTGTGTCTAACAGCCCAAGGCTAACACCACAAACAATGAAACACATCATTATGAGTTTATAGAACAAGGCTAAGAATACTAATGATTATTTCCAACATGGCTGTGCCATAAATAGGGTTATTAGACATCAGCTAAGATAACAACTCAGCTTTTGCAAAATATCATAGATCTGGGGACACTCACAGTCTGGCAGACAAAACAATAGAAGAGGCCATGCTGGATTCCAAATAGAAGAGATATGAATCCTACTTAACCACTATGACTTTCCATAGAGATAACATTTTTTTATTTTGAATTGTCAAACCTATAGAACCCTTTCAACTATATTTCTCTTTTTTTATCCTGGATGAAATTCTTCAAAAACAAACATGCAAGTAGGTCTACAGTATCATCACTCTGTGAGGCAATGTATAATTCACATGGTCTTTTTGCCTCTTGGGGCAGACTTTCAAAATGTTTGATGCATATATTGCTGAAGCCTAGTACAGCACAGAAACCCAAATGAGAAATCATGTATTCAGTATCTTGAATAAAATAGACAAGCAGAGGCACACAGAGGAAAGCTGATATACATTCCCTGTTAAGATTTTTCAGTCGCTGTTATTGATTTTATTTACATTTGCTGCTCTTCCTCTGAGAAGTTAAATAAACTACTTGTTGAGATGAATGTAAGGTTGGCTGCTTTGTTTTGTGAAATGGGAAACAAACACCCAAGCTCCCCACACCATCACTCCTGGGTTTTGCTAAATTTCTTGCATTTATCAGATAAATTTTCTAATGTTAATATTTACCTACATGAATTCTCCCTATTCATCATGGTCACAGGTGATTCTTCAATTCTTTAAATATTTGACAGCCAAATCAATTGTACTGGAGGCCTTCTAGGATCAAATCTGTACTAATTCAACTGAGACAAGTCATATAATATAATCCTTACGAGTGTGGACTCTGAAGGAAGACTGCTTGGGTTCAAATTCAAGCTCCAACTAGATATGCTAATTTGAGTCATCTAGATGAGTTATTTAAGTTCCCTGCATTTCAGTTTCTAATTATAAAATGGGAAAAATAATTTCATCTTCCTCTAGAGTTGTCTTGAGGTGTGTATAAGTTGAATTGTTTACAGCACCTAGACCACCATCTGGCACACATAGGTATTACAGAGGGACAGAACTGCTTACTATTATATTGCTATTCTTTTTTGTATCAGGAAGAAGCAACTCTTCAGTAGCCAAGCAGTTAACGTAGATGATAAGGCTTTTAATTTAGAAAAATACCTGTGATACCAATTTAGTGATTAAATGATGTTGAGTTAAACACTAGGGAAAACATATAAACAGAGAGAAACACTCACTAATAGAGAATGACTATGGAAAACAAAGCCTTCAGTTGTGGCAGGGCAACTGTTGAGTATTTTATTAGGCTGTCCATTACATGGAAATTTTTGTTGGATTCAATAAGATTTACCAAAATAAAAATGTCAGTGTTGAACTTGATAAATGATTTTGTGTTGACCAAGTTAAATCCACACTAATTATGCAATCAATAAACGTATTTAAAGTGCCTTTTTTAAAAATCCACCTGAGCAGAGGATGAGAAGAGTTTGACTAGAGAGTGGCTTTGGGTTTGAAGAGTCAAATTTCTGAGAAGCTTTGGCAACAAGAGATTTGAGGGATGCTTTCAAATCTGCTCCAGAAGAGGGTGTAGGCAGATTTCTTCAGAACACAACATCAAAAAGAGCAGTCAAAAGTTGTAGATTTTGGTTTATTATATAAAGCATGAGTTTTCCCACCAAGGAGAAGCTGAGTGACCAGCTGCTAAGGCCAGTCTTCAGGGTTTTTAACTGCTTGACTTGCTAGAAGATTAGCCAGAATGAGACCAAAGGTTTATCCATCCTCAAGTGCTCTGATGGTATGGGTTCTATTGCAGGTCTTATCTGTGCTCACCAGGCCTATAGGCACCCACAATAACTCAGGGAAGCCGTCTGGAAGATATAAAGCAGCATTCCCCAAAGAGAGGCCCATGGGGGTAATTAAATCCTAACTTAAACAAAACAAGTAGGTTTCTTCACTGCAGGATTTATGAGAACTTGTAGTGTGCTAATCCATTTTATAAAAATTTACCAGAGAGGGAAATGTTGAACTTGATGTATAAAAGTAAAAGCATATCTCAAACTTATTTTTCTACAGACCACTCCACTCTGTCATGCATCCTCTTGCAGAAATACTGCTTAAAAACAAACAAACAAAATCCACAGAAACCACTTTTATAGAGCTTCTTTCCAAACCCATGGCTAGTGTCTTGTTATGGAGGAGAAGAGTGTATCATGTCACCCATAGTCTTCTGCTATCTCTCTCCCATCAGACTGTGAGTTCTTACAGCCCTGAATGAGTTATTGTTTTGATCTTCACTCTTTACACTGCCCTTGATACAGACAGGTTGCTCAAAAAAACGTATATGATTGGAGTAAGTGGAGCTGTTTCTACCCTGAAAGACGTTGAGTAGGGAATGACAGCCTGCGACCACACATATGCTTGATGTGGCCCCATGTGAGGAGGTCCTGATGTGCTGAAGATGTGAGTCCCTGGGAATGTGTCTCTTGGGGGCATTTAAGTTCATCTTAGTAGAGACAAATGCAAGAATGCATGAATGCATACACAGATTGACTCATCATAGACTTCAAGTTATTCGTTCTCTGTTATTGATTGTGATTATGAATTCTTTCCTTTTCTTCCTCAGTACCTACAGCAATCTCAGAAGCCAGACCAGCCGCAAGCTAAGGCAAATGCAAAGATGATTTCATCTTGAAAAATGAGTTCTATCTTTCATTCAGGCTGGGCCTCATGCCAGTGCATGAGTGCAAGGATAACAAAAAACCTGGCCTTTCTTCTGAAGATCTCACAGGCTCTTCCAGATATCTGTCAGCTGACTTTATGTTTTGCAAAATGTCCACTAGACATTCTTCCTTTGTTGGACCCCTGTTTAACTTGCATCTCTTCTGAGAAAACTTCCTCTACTACCAGGGAAGCTGACTGCTGCCTCACCTTAGCTCACTGCATCATCTGGAAGCCTTGTTCCAAATGGCCCCACGTGGTTCAGATAGCTCCATCTCTTTCGGACCTGCCCTAGGCTCGCAGAAAGAGTCTTTGCTTGAGGAACAGAATAAAGGGCCTGATGGCTGCTGCATTCATTCCAGTGCTTCTCCTTTTCTTGCTATTTCCCCTATTCATTCAGTGTAAAAGATAATATGCAATGAATGAGAGAAGGAGTTATGTTACTCTTGAGAAATTGCAGAGCTAAGACTTGACAGTTAACTTTCAGAGCAGGCACTGGAGTTTATAATAGAGTTTTCAGTTACTTTGAGGGTACAAATGGGATAGTCAATGTTATACAAATAAATAAATATATATATACACATAATTGCTGAATTATAGACAATTATGTATGCATGAATATATAAACATGAATATATATGTATACGAATTCACCAAATCAGTAATTAAGTGCAATAAAAGTTGAACAAAAACTTTTTATAAAATCATTATCAATAACAAGATCCAGAAAGAAATCTCCTTGGTGATATGGAGGTGAGAGCATTCTAATACAGGGGAGCTGGGGAAAGAAGCAGCCATTTGTGGGAGAGAATTGAGATTTAGATGTTTTGAACACAAATTTGATATCCCTATGTTTATGTTCATTAAAAATTAAATCTGTTACATCCACAAAAGTATATTAATAAGATATGAGCCCTTGAAAAGCAGAGACCATGCCTAACTATCCACCACATGCTCGGTTCCTGGTTCATAGAAAATACTCTGTAAATGTATGCAGAGAACTTCATAAGTAAAATTGTTTAAAATACATATTTTTAAATCCATATCTTAAGCAGTGCAAACATGATTTCTTTTCCCTAGTGTTTTCTTCCTTGTTAAATCCCAATTTTTCTAGATGCTGTAAAGCGGGTGGGGGCTGCCATAGGCAAAATACAAATTTGACATTCCTCTCCAGAAAAATCACAAGTGGAGCACATTATACATTTCCCTAGTAAAATTGAATACCTGTTTCTAATAGTAGATTATGATTCTAATGGCTGAAGATATCCTCCAGACACTGACTGGAAATTATCCGCAGCACTGTATTTCTTAGGGATGCACATTTCTTGGGGAAACTAGATAATTTTTGAATGCTTCCTCTATTTGGGACTAAAATCAATGTTCTCGTCACCATCCCTCATTTACCCCTCCAATAAGTCCTATTTTGTCATCACTCAACATTTAAAAGGCGTAACGGAACTGTATCTAGTGAAAGGAGGTCTCTAAAGGATAAGTCTTGCACCAGTTGAAGGTGTGTAGGAATGAGTGTGAACATCAAGAGCAGCTATTTATATTTTACACAGCAGAAGGCCTTGGAGATTTTGTATATTCATTGAAAAATTCCCCATCCACTAGAATACCACATGCAGAGGAGCCTCAAGCTCTTCCGACATACAGTTTCTGAACACCTCCAAAGTTCAGTAATACTTTTGCAATTTTCAAACCAAAAACTACTTAAGAGAGGAATGCAACTCTGCTAGTTGTTACATAGAATACAACAATGAGGCAAATTCCCTAATATGAAATGGCTGAAAGCCATAGGTAAGTGTGTGTGCATCTGGGGGTGGAAGGAGTAGGTAGGAAGAATAAATACATGTAAAATCAGGAAGCATACTGACTTAGAAAAGCAACATTTAAAGTGTGAGTGAAATTTTGGAGAACATATATGCACTGATTAATTCATTAACTCATTCTTTCAATGATAATTTTTTTTCTTATTTATTAATTTTTTTAGGGATGGGGCCTCACTATGTTGTCCAGGCTGGTCTGAAACTCCTGGACTCAAGAGATCCTCCTGCCTCAGCTCCCAAAGTGCTGGAACTACAGGCATGGGCCACTGTGCCTGGCCTCCCCGACTGCTGGTTGCCTGCACTCCGTGGCCTATAAGCTTAAATTCAAATAGAAGAACATTCTCAGAAAGAAAGAAGCTCGTTTTGGCACTCTGCATTTACCATAATTTGGGAGAAGCATCCATTTCTGCCCACTGTCTCCATTCCTAGAGAGTAGCATTTGAGACATTGTTGTTTTCTTGCACAGTTTGCAGTGGCAACAACAGCCCTGGTAAACAAGTTTTGTTTCAGATTCCTGTCTTTCTTCTTCTCCTATTAGAAAACTCCTAATTACTGTCTCCTCTTGATCCATTTTTCTGGCATTCTAGGGATGCCCTCAGGGGAGGTTCTGTCTAATGACATACCATCTACTGTTTCTGGGAGCAGGTATATAGATTCCTGAGGAATAAGAAATCTGCCTTCTTAAAGAAATACGATTTCCAATTCAGAACCAAAATCTTACAAGGTTTTCAGGCATGGGGGCAGGGGACATTGCGGGAAGCAGTTTTGAATTTTTTTTCTTCAACGTTTAAGTTCCAGAGTACTTGCGCAGGATGTGCAGGTTTGTAACATAGATAAATGTGTACCATGGTGGTTTACTGCACAGATCAGCCCATCACCCAGGAATTAAGCCAAGCATCCATTGGCTATTTTTCCTGGTTCTTTACCTCTCCGTACTCCCTCCCCGTGACAGGATCCAGTCTGTGTTGTTCTCCCCAATGTGTCCATGTGTTCGCATCGTTCAGCTCCCACTTATAAGTGAGAACATGTGGTGTTTGTTTTTCTGTTTTTGCATTAGTTTGCTGAGGATAATGGCTTCCAGCTCTATCCCTCTCCTTGTAAAGGACATGATCTCATTCCTTTTTATGGCTGTGTAGTATTCCATGGTGTATATGTACCACATTTTCTTTATCCAGTCTATCATTGATGAGCATTTGGGTTGATCCCATGTCTTTGCTATTGTGAACAGTGCTGCAATGAACATATCTGTGCATGTATCTTTATAATAGAATGATTTATATTCCTTTACATAATTATTAAACACCTACTTTGTGCCAATACTGCGTGAGTTTAAAGTCCACAGTTTCTTCCATTTTGGAACAAAGTGCATGATCCTGTGAGAAAGATGCCAAAGCAGATAAAGAACATTCACAGCACAGGGAAGTGACCTTATCAGCCTGAAATGTGAAGGGAGTTTCCTTGGATATTCTGACATTAAGCTGGGTCATGAACAAATAAGTAGGAGGTAGTTGGGGAAAATGGCAGCCTCTGATAGTGATCACTTGGTATCACAAGTGAGGGTGTGGTCTTAGGAATGCAGATAATTTGAGAAAGGATATTAATCCCCATTTAAGTATCTGAGTGTTGATGGCCAAAGAAGCACATTAGAGTTAGGTATGTTGAGGCCAGATAGTAAAGTAGCCTGAATGTAAAGCTAAGAATAAACTGGTTCTGCACTCAGTAGAAGCCTTTACCCAGTGTAATGAAATGAGACTTTTAATAAATTCAGGCTGGTGGCCTTCTGGAGAATGAAATAGAAAGACCCAAATCAGTGAAACAGAGTTATACAAGTTTGGGAGTGATTTTACTGGAATACAACAGAGAGGAGAAAAGGACCTGGCTCCCAGGCACATGTTTAGGGTATAGAATCAGTAAGTCTTGCTGTTTGAGTGGTATGACAGGTGGAGAGGAGAGGAAAATCCAAATTATTTCCCAAGTTTTTAGCGGGAGAAAGTACTTGGATAACTACACCAACCAGCAAGCTAAGGGAAACAGTGGGAGAAAGGCATTTAATCAGAAAATTTCATTTTAGACACAGAGAGCCCCTAAGAAGGCATGCTTATTACATCCTTCTCTAGATGAACCTAGGATAGAAGTGACATGCTAACATCCTGCTGTTAAGGAAAACTTAAAGCTATGTCCTATTTGTCCAGCACAGGAAAAAACAGATCCGTTAAATAGATAATTGCCAAGGCCTTTAGGTGAGGAATGACATCCACAATACTCTAATTTTCTACTGTGTCCTTCAAATGTTTATGTCCTTGTGGGTACTTGGGCTGACCACCCTGGTGTGTATCTAGAAGGGATACATACAGTTTGGGAGTCATCTGCCAAGGCAGCTCAAATAATGGGATTTAACTATGTCATTCTGGGAGAAGTTATAGGGTACAAAAAAAAAAAAACTGGCATGGGGACAGCCTCTATGAAGAAATTGCTTAAGAAAAGAAGAACCTTAGACCTTCCAAATGCTTTGTGTGCTGGAGTTAGACAGAGGATATTAATTAGCATCTCAACTGTCTCTGTAGCATGGCTTTTGAAACTAAATTAAACCTTATTTTCCTTAAATATTTGATCAGCCTGTTATAGCATTTATTCTTTCACATGTTACGTGCATTCAGATCACTGCTTATGCAAATCCATCTTTGTTGGTTCTGTATTAAGTAATTTTACAAAGAATCTGATAATAACATCAGTCAAGGATTTGACCTGTAGCACTCTTTATTGTAAACATTTGGAAGGGAAAATGAGCCAAGATACCTGAAAATAGAGGCAATCTTCCAATTGTTTTTTATGGGCTTCTCATAATATAGTTTCAATGAAAACTTTTCTGTTCCTATGTCCTGAATTTGCCTTGGAGCTTTCACACCTGTCTTTCCCTCTGCTTTGGAAACTTCTAGTAGCTCTACATGTCTAATGCCTTTTCATTGGTCCTGTCTAGCTCTAATCAAGAAGGCCCTCCCCTCATTTTCCCCCCTCCACCTTAGTATTTTCTATCAGTGCATCTTCATTGCAGCACTAGTCACAAGTTAAATTATATATTATTTATTTATCAATTGTTTGTCTCATTCTGTGTATAGAATGCAGCTCATGAATTATCCCAACTTCTTCTTTTCTTTAGTCACATTAGAATAATTTTTTGGGCTGGGGGTGGTTGCTTGTGCCTGTCATCCCAGCACTTTGGGAGGCCAAGGTGGGTGGATCACCTAAGGTCAGGAGTTCAAGACCAGCCTGGTCAACATGGTGAAACCCCGTCTCTACTAAAAATACAAAAATTAGCTGGACGTGGTGGCACGAACCTGTAATCCCTGCTACTCAGGAGGCTGAGAAAGGAGAATAACTTGAACCCAAAAGGCGGAGGTTACAGTGAGCTGATATTGTGCCACTGCACTCCAGCCTGGGCGATAGAGCAAGGCTCCATCTCAAAAACAAAAACAAACAAACAACAAATTTTTTTTAAGAGAATGAACATGTTAATTTATTGCTGGAGAAGGACTGCCAAATGTTGATAGTCTTATCATTTCTTCTTTCATTTATTAGCTGGGATACTTTGATATAGAAAAGTGCAAATTATTGCTTTCCTTTTATTTCCCAGTATTTATGATAACGGCTGTGTTCCCTATTATCCCCATAGGTGACCAGTTCACCTCTTACATTTCTTCATAATGAAAGCACTATGGAGGAACTCTGTGTTTATCACATCATAGTGAGTTTCCAGGGTTTGAAGACAACTGGCCCAGATCAAGAGCATTGAGCTAGAGCACAGATATTGCCTCTTCTTTAAAACTTTCCTCAGTTATTTCAGTCAGAATCACATAATCCCTCCTAGATGCTCCCTTGGCATTTTGCATATACTTTGATTGACACATTTTGTTGGAATAATATATAACAGTGATTAGGAGGATGATCTGTACAGAAGAGGAAACTGGATTTAATCCTAGCTGTGTCACTTAGAAACTATGGGTACTTGCCAAATTACTAGAGTTCTTGAAGTCTTGGTTGTCCCATATGAAAAAAATGGTTGTAAAAGGATTGATGAGATATTTGGTCAAAATAATTTAACAAACTGCATGAAACTGTGTGTTCTTAAAAAAGTTAATCTGCATTATTGTAATTGTCCACATGTCTAGCGCCCAAAAGGACTATGAAGTGCTTGAAAGAAACATAATTATTTTTTATTTTTTTTACCATCTAGAACAATACAGGTGTCCAATAAATATTTATTACATGAGTGATAACTCAAATTACCGAAGCTGGTGGTTTTGTCCTAGGCTACTCATCATTTGTAATCGTGATGTGTCAAGTGGGATATCACAATGGAGAAAAAAACCAAGTGCATCCCCTGGATCCTAACATCACAGAAGTTGTCCCAGGGCTTTTTTCTCTCCCTCTCCCCTTCTTTCTTACTCCTCTAAGGTCTACAAATATGCTGTTGAAGACTCAGATTGTGATCTATAACCCTTTCTTCTCTGAAAATCAGATTCAAATCTAAATGCCAAGAGAGGTATGTAAAAGTCAAAGACATTCCAGAAGTATCTATTGAAAGTTCCACTGCTGATTTATTATTCTAGCGGCTGTCTCCCTCTAAGGAAAGACACATACTGAGCCCAATTATATCAACTTCACGTTCAGCCTACAACACCAAAAACCAGCTGGCATAACAGGCCTGTTAGAAGTCACTTCCAAGTGACTTCTATGCACCTGCCTCCTCGATGTATCTTATTTCACTAAAAAAAAAAAAAAAAAAAAAAAAAAAAAAATCCACACAGAAATAAGATCTTTGGTGCTCAATAGTCCTCACCTGAAGGCTTTACTTTTTGTTTCTGATAAGATTTCTGGCTGATGAATTTGATAAATGTGTAGACTCTGACTATTTTTCTTTCCATAGGTAACACTGAGCCTTAAAAGTAAAGCAGAAGCAGAAGGGCATGGAGACTGTGCTGCACCATCTCCCAATTCCTCTCTGAACTCCAGCCACCCTGCTGTTTCCTTATTTGCTCAAATGTTCCATAAGCCTTCTTGAAGCTAGTACTTTGCCCATGTTATGCTTCCACGTGGATCTCCTTCTCACTAAACCCATCCTTTGCCTTATTAACTCTTACTGACATTGGAGATCCCAGTTAATTGCCATTTCTCTGTGAATGCGTCTTTAACCAGGCCAAAGAACTTTCTATGAGTCCTTCAAATTCCACCTTACAATTTATAATTATGTTTACTGGCATGACTGATTTAATATCTATCTCCCTCTTTCATTCGCAAGCTCCATTATGCTGGGACTAGGAATCTTGTTTCACGTGTAACACTGAGTAGTGTCTCTAGCATAGAGTCAGAATCAATGACTATTAATTGAATGAATGCCTAATGAAACATATCAAGTAGTCAGAAGGAAAGGTAATTCACATGCATCAATCATTAATTAATGCTAGGCAAGGGACCAGGTCAGTGAATGTAAACACACATTATATCCTACCATTCTCACTCTAACAACAAGGCATCATCACCATCTCTGTAAAAATGAAGAAATTCGAACTTGAGGAAGTGAGTCATTTGCCTACAGTACAACAGCAATCCCACAATAATAGGTATCAGAACTAAATTATCAAGCTCTGGAAAGAAAGTAAAATTGTAAGGGACAAGAGTCTCTACTCGGATGCCAGGCATTATGGACTAAAACTTGCAAATATCCTCAACGTTTAGTAAGAGAGCCTCCTGGTGATCTGACTGGTGATTGGTCACCACAGCAGGCTGTGTGTGATTCTGATGATGTGGTGAAGATTCCCTTTCCCTCAGAATTTTCAAAGTAATTTAATTCTTTTCCTTATTTTCATCTGTTATTAATACACCACCCTTGGTTTTCCCCATCTAGGAACCAATTTTGTCCCTCTTCTTAAAGATTTGCGGGGATCCTCTTCCAATGCCCATGTTACTACAGCACTCTCTCATCGCTGTGCGGGCCGGTTCATTTTCCCTGCAAAACCAGGACAGTCATTGAATTGGCCTCTTGTACAAAGTACTGATATTTATACAACTTTTTATGCATGTGAAAATGAAGTTTCCGAATGAAAGTGACTATCAAATTCATGGAAACAGTGAATAGCAGACCCCGGATTTGAAACTACATGTACTAACATGAAACCCAATGTTGTTTCTACCGCAGTACAGTTGACTCGCAAATCATCCTCCCTCCATCACAGATGCCAAGGACAGAAATCTGCTACCAAAACATTTTCTCCGAAATCCCTTATATGTGTATTAATGGTTTATCGCTCCCACTTGAATACCAATATACAAATTGACATTTTTTGTTTGTTTTTTAAAGTTAACATATGTTTCTCTCCTTGGTATTCTTCGTGTGGACCTGATTTCTTGCTTTCCAGCAAAATAATCAGTGTCCAGATAAAACTATTACTTCTAAGAGTCTACAAATTGCTCCAATATTTAAACCTAGCTAAGAAAGAAGGATTAACTGCTAATCTGCAATGCCAAAGGAAATTCCACAAATTTCTAAATCCAAGGGGATTTGTTATGTATTTATATTACCTATAGCCACATTCATTTCTGGGAAGAAATCCAAAATATGTGCACATTTTCTAAATTTAAGCTGAGTCAGCAAACAATTTACTATAGTCAGCAAGGACCACAGTAAACAATAAAACTGCCATTTGGATTGCTCTTAAGATTTAAAATACATTTGCAACCAAAGCATAATAATTAGTGTGAGGCAATATGAAAAAGCAGAGTACTTAATGTAAGCTAATATAATATAATGTCTTAAGTGTTTAGCAGATGATTTTTATGAATCCAGATAAAAGAATTGCAATCATTTACCATGGGACCTATCTTCTTGCAGCCTCCTGGATTACAGGTAAATTGATTGCATAGTTCAAAGCTGATTCAAGCATTCAGGAAAAAGTTACCATCTCCACAAGAGTTCCACAAAGTCATGTTTAAGCAATGTTACAGATAAGATATTAGCCACATCTCATAGCTTCTGAATCTCAATTACATTAACAATCAAGTTTCACTGCAAAGCCTCCGAGACACAGGAAACATCAAAATCAACCAAAATAACAGGATGGAGAATTAAAGAAGTAAAAAACTATCATTAATGAAGCAAAAAGCCCAAAAGTATAGCATACATATAAATAAAACTAAAAGAAGGCTGTTCAAAAAAAAAAAAAATCAAACAGGCAAACTAGTAGAAAGGATTTTTTTTTTAAATGAGAGAAGTAAAAATGTACATTATATATAATAAATGAGATGTAAGTATGTACACAGAGGAGATATTTACAAAAATTTCAAAAAATATGGGCAAATTTGGTAATGAAAATAATACAAATCTAGAGAAAGGATGATTTTCAACAGAAAATCATGTTCTCAAATTAAATACCAAAATATAGAGAACCTGTAGAGTCCAGTGATCATAGAAAAGATGGGAAACATAATCTGCCATTAGAAAATGTCCTAATGCCCACATGGCTTTCCAGATATGCTCTACTTACCTTAATATAAGAGATTATACCTATTTTACATCAATAATATTAAACAGCTGAATAACGTACAATGTTCTAAAACTTATTTTATGAAACCTAAAACAAAACAAAGCAACAACAAAACATATTATTAGCTAAAGTAACAACAATAAAACCTATCAATAGCTAAAGCTAATAAACATAATACCATAAAAACATGATATACATACTACTTTTATACATGGATATAAAATTGAAAGTGAAATACTAGCAAAGTGAATCCAGTAGTGTATTACAAGAATAAAACACCATGACCAAATTAATTTTATTCCAAGAACACAACATTAAATATATAACTAATTAATTAATTAATTTTAAAAAGTAAAATAGAAATCAGGACTTCCCATTCACAATTACTCAGAATTGCTTTAATGATTTAACTAATGTAATAGGATATGTAAATTAAGTAATAAATATCAATTTTCCATAAGAAACATAAAAGTAAACTCTACAGATATTATGATGATACACTTTGAAAAACCCTAGAAATTACTAAAGAGTTAAAAAATCCTAAGGTAATTTAATAAAACATGTAAGTTATACATATGGGGGCAATTTTTGCTTATCATCATTGTCCCCCTCTCAAAAGAAGAAAGAAAGACACATTTAATAAAATAGTTGAAGGTCATAATTTGTTTTAAAGTATAAAATTTATTGAAAATTACATAAAAGAACCACAAACAAACAGAGAATATCCTGTGCTCATGCAGGAGATATCATATATTTATAAATGAATTATTTTCACAACTAATATATGCATTTAATACAATTTCAAACAAAATCTTGATTTTACAAAAACCCAGCAAATGACTTTGGTGTGATATGGTAGAACAGATATCTAAGAACTAAAAAAATGCTGGAGAAAAAGATGAGAAACACTCTTTCTTGACTTTAAAACATTACAAATAATAGTATATTGACCTAGAATTGGACAAATAAGCCCTAAGAAACAAGTAAGCATTTCATAAATAAACACAAAGGTATAGTAGAAGTTAATGTACAGAAAGTAATAATTTAGGGTCAGGACCAAGGTGGCCGACTAGAAGGACTGGCATTCAGAGACTCATATGAAAAAAAAAAAAACATAATAAGCATGTGAATCCATCACCAGCAACAAAGGTATCCAAGTTCTGTCATCAAAATTGTCTAGAAGGCTAGTCTATTTCCTACTCATGAAGAGAAGGAAGAGCAGTGTGGTGTGGTGGCCCACCTGAAAGCCACATGGGAAAGAAGAACCCCCTCCCCCCAGCCAAGGGAGGTGGTGAGTGAGCGTGCTACTCAGCCGGGCAATCTGCTTTTTTCACGGAACTGTGCAACCCATGGAAGGGAAGATCCCACTCATGAACCCATGCCACCAAGGGCCTAGCATCCCAACCCCAGAAAGCGCAGATTGTTACAGCCTCTCAGCTGGAATCTGCTTAATCCTAATGACTTCCTGGGGTGAGGGGTGACCAGCACCAACTGCAGCTGCCTGTTGTCTAAGTGGTTTAAGCTCCTTGGGGAAGGGGCAGCCAGCACTGGGACTTGCAACTGCCTAACACACTAAGCTCCCTGGGTGGGGGAAGGGCAGCACCCATTTCTACAGCTCCAGGCTGCACTTTTCACCTGCTGGAGCCAGAAAGGCTGGAAGGTTTGGTCCCAAGACTTGTCCCCACAGCCCAACACACTGGCTGTGGCAGTCTGTGGCCAGAGGGCCTCTTCAGGCCTAACCCTGACCCATCCTTCCTCAGTGGGCTGGGCTTCCTTGCAGGACCTCCAATAACTCCAGCCAGAGGCTCAGGGACAGGTTTTGGATCTCCCTGGGCCTGAGCCCCTAAAGGGAGGAATGGCCACAGTCTCTGCAAAGCAGCAGACTTAGCCTCACCTCCTGGTAGTTCTGAGGAATCTGGGCAGCCCAGAAGAGTGGGTTTCCCCCCAGTGAAGCACACTCTCTCCACCAAAGGACAAAGTGTTTTGTAAAATGGGTCCTGTTCCCCATCCTACCCAACTGGGTGAGACCCTCCAACAGGGTTTGTCGGACACCCTATTCAGGAGTGATCCTACTGGCATCAGGTTGGTGCCCCTCGAGGTCAGAGGTCCCAGAGGAAGGAAAAGGTACCCATCTTTGCTGTTCACCAGGCTCCTTCAGTGACGTCTCCAGGCACGGGAGCAAATCAGCTGAATAGAGCCTGAAGTGAGCCCCCAGCAAACTGCAGCAGCCCTATAGAAGAGGGACCTGACTACTGAAAGAACAACAAACCAGAAGAAAGCAACAACAATAGCATCATCAACAACAACAACAAAAAGCCCCCACAAAAACCCCATCCAAGGATCAGCAACCTCAAAGACCAAAAGTAGACAAATTCACGAAGATGAGAAAGAATCAATGTATAAATGCCAAAAACCCAAAAGGCCAAAGTGTCTCTCCTCCAAATGATCGCAACATCTCTCCATCAAGGGCACAGAAGTGAACAGAGAATCAGATGGATGAATTGACAGAAGTAGGCTTTAGAAGATGGGTAGTAAAAAACTATGATGAGCTAAAGCAGCATGTTCTAACACAATGCAAAGAAGCTAAGAAACTTCATAAAAGGTTAGAGGAATTGCTAACTAGAATAACCTGTTTAGAGAGGAACATAAATGACCTGATGAAGCCGAAAAACACAGCACAAGAACTTCATGAAGCATACATAAGTATCAACAGCCAAATCGACCAAGCAGAAGAAAGGATATAAGAGTTTGAAGACCACCTTACTGAAATAAGACATGCAGACAAGAATAGAGAAAAAAGAATGGAAAGGAATGAAAAAAGCCTCCAAGAAATATGGGACTATGTGAAAAGACCAAACCTATGATTGATTGGAGTACCAGAAGGAGAAGGGAGAATGGAAACAAACTGGAAAACACACTTTGGGATATTATTCAAGAGAACTTCCCCAACCTAGAAAGACAGGCCAACATGAAAATTCAGGAAATACAGAGAACACCACTAAGATACTCTATGAGAAGATCAACCCCAAGACACATAATCGTCAGATTCTCCAAGGTTAAAATGAAGGAAAAACTGTTAAGGGCAGCCAGAGGGAAAGGCCAGATCATCTACAAAGGGAAGCCCATCAGACTAACAGTGAACCTCTCAGCAGAAACTCTATAAGCCAGAAGAGATTGGGGGCCAATATTTAGCACTCTTAAAGAAAATAATTTTCAACCCAGAATTTCATATCCAGCAAAACTAAGCTTCATAAGCGAAGGAGAAATAAAATCCTTTCCAGACAAGCAAATCCTGAGGGATTTTGTTACCACCAGGACTGCCCTGCAGGGGTTCCTGAAAGAAGCACTAAATACAGAAAGGAAAAACTGGTACCAGCCACTGCAAAAACACACCAAAATGTAAAAACCAATGACATTATGGAGAAACTGCATCTACTAGTGTGCAAAATAACCAAATAGCAGCATGATGACAGGATCAAATTCACACATAACAGTACTAACCTTAAATATAAATGGGCTAAATGCCAAAACTTAAAAGACACAGACCAGCAAATTGGATAAGGAGTCAAGACCCATTGGTGTACTGTTTTCAGAAGACCCACCTTACATGCAAAGGCACACACAGGCTCAAAATAAAGGGATAGAGGAAAATTTACCAAGCAAATGGAAAGCAAAAAAAAGCAGGAGTTGCAATCCTAGCCTCTGACAAAACACTTTCAGCCAACAAAGATAAAAAAGACAGAGAAGGGCATTATGTCATGGTATAGGGAATAATTCAATGAGAAGAGCTAACTGTTCTAAATATGTATGTACCCAATACAGGAGCACCCAGATTCATAAAACAAGTTCTTAGACACCTACAAAGAGACCTAGACTCCCACACAATACTAGTGGGAGACTTTAACACCCCAATGTCAGTATTAGATGGATCAATGAGACAGAAAATTAACAAGGATATTCATGACTTGAACTCAGCTCTGGATCAAGTGGACCTAGTAGATGTCTACAGAACTCTCTACCCCAAATCAACAGAATATATATTCTTCTCAGTGCCACATGGCACTTATTCTAAAATCGACCACATAATTGGAAGTAAAACACTCCTCAGCAAATGCAAAAGAATGGAAATCATAAGTCTCTCAGACCACAGTGCAATCAAATTAGAACTCAGGATTAAGAAACTCACTCAAAACCAATTGTGCCACTGCACTCCAGTCTGGGTGACAGAGTGAGACTCCATCTCAAAAAAAAAAAAAAAAAAAAGAAAAGAAAAGAAACTCACTCAAAACCACACAATTTCATGGAAATTGAATATCCTGCTCCTGAATGACTCCTGGGTAAATAATGAAATTAAGGCAGAAATCAAGAAGTTCTTTGAAACCAATGAGAACAAAGAGACAACATACCAGAATCTCTGGGACACAGTTAAAGCAGTGTTAAGAGGGAAATATATAGCAGTAAATGCCCATATTAGAAAGCTAGGAAGATCTCATATCGACAACTTAACATCAGAATTCAAAAATCTAGAGAGGCAAGAGCAAACTAATCCAAAAGCCAGCAGAAGACAAGGAATAACTAAGATCAGAGAAGAACTGAAGGAGATAAAGACACAAAAAGCCCTCCAAAAAATCAATGAGTCCAGGAGCAGGTTTTCTGAAAAAACTTAACAAAATGGATGGACTGCCAGCTAGACTAATAAAGAAGAAGAAGAGAGAAGCATCAGACAGACACAATAAAAAATGATAAAGGGGATACCACCACTGACCCCACAGAAATACAGGCTACCATCAGAGAATGCTGTAAACACCTCTATGCAAATAAACTAGAAAATCTAGAAGAAATGGATAAATTCCTGGATGCATACACCCTACCAAGATTAAACCAGGAAGAAGTCAAATTCCTGAATAAACCAATAACAAGCTCTGAAACAGAGGCAGTAATGAATAGCCTACCAACGAAAAAAAGCCTAGGACCAGACAGATTCACAGGTGAATTCTACCATAAATACAAAGAGGAGCTGGTACCATTACTTCTGAAACTTTTAAAAACAATTGAAAAGGAGAGACTCCTCCCTAACTCATTTTATGAAGCCAGCATCATCCTGATACCAAAACCGGGAAGACACATAACAAAAAAAGAAAACTTCAGGCCAATATCCCTGATGAACATCAGTGCAAAAATTCTCAATAAAATATGGGAAACGGAAACCAGCAGAACATCAAACAACTTATCCACCACGATCAAGTCAGCTTCACCTCTGGGACACAAAGCTGGTTCAACATACACAAATCAATAAACACAATCCATCACATAAACAGAACCAATGACAAAAACCATGATTATTTCAATAGATGCAGAAAAAGCCTCTGATAAAATTCAACATCCCTGCATATTAAAAACTCTCAATAAACCAGGTATTGATGGAACATATCTCAAAATAATAAAAGCTATTTATGACAAGCCCACAGCCAATATCATATTGAATGAGCAAAAGCTGGAAGTACCCTTCAAAAACTGGTGCAAGACAAGGATGCCCAGTCTCACCACTCCTATTCAACATAGTATTGGAAGTTCTGGCCAGGGAAATCAGGCAAGAGAAAGAAATAAAGAGTATTCGAATAGGAACAGAGGAAGTCAAGTTGTCCCTGTTTGCGGACAACATGATTTTGTATTTAGGAAACCCCATCATCTCAGCTCAAAAACTTCTTGAACTGATAAGCAACTTCAGCAAAGTCTCAGGATACAAAATCAATGTGCAAAAATCACAAGCATTCCTCTACCCCAACAATAGGCAAGCAGAAAGCCAAATCATGAATGAATTCCCATTCACAATCTCTAAAAAGAGAATAAAATATATAGCAATACAGCTAACATGGGATGTGAAGGACCTCCTCAAGGAGGACTACAAAGCACTGCTCAAGGAAATGAGAGGACACAAACAAATGGAAAAAACATTCCATCCTCATGGATAGGAAGAATCAATACCGTGAAAATGGCCAAACTCCCCAAAGCAATTTATAGATTCAATGTTATTCCCATCAAACTACCATTGACATTCTTCACAGAATTAGAAAAAACTAGGTTAAATTTCATATGGAATCAAAGAAGACCCTGTATAGCCAAGACAATCCTAAGCAAAAAGAACAAACCTGGAGGCATCATGCTATCTGACTTCAAACTATACTACAAGACTACAGCAACCAAAACAGCAAGGTACTGGTACCAAAACAGACATATAGACCTATGAAGTAGAACAGAGACCTCAGAAATAACATCACACATCTACAACCATCTGATCTTCAACAAATTTGACAAAAACCAGCAATGGGGAAAGGATCTCCTATTCAGTAAATGGTGCTGGGAAAACTTGCTAGCCATATGCAGAAAACTGAAACTGGACCTCTTCCTCACACCTTACACAAAAATTAATTGAAGATGGATTAAATACTTAAATGTAAAACCTAAAACCTTAAAAACCCTAGAAGAAAACCTGGCAATGCCATTCAGGACATTGACATGACAAAAATGCCAAAAGCAATTGCAACAAGAGCCAAAATTGACAAATGGGATCTAATTAACTAAAAAGCTTCTGCACAGCAAAAGAAATTATCATCAGAGTGAACAGGCAATCTACAGAATGGGAGAACACTTTTGCAATCTACCCATCTGAGAAAGGTCTAATATCCAGAATTTACAAGGAACTTAAACATATTTACAAGAAAAAAACAAACAACCCCATCAAAACATGGGGAAAGGATATGAACAGACACTTCTCAAAAGAAGACATCTACGTGGCCATCGAACATATGAAAAAAAGCTCAATATCACTGATCATCAGGGAAATGCAAATCAAAACCACAATGAGATACCATCTCACACCAGTCAAAAATGGCGATTATTAAAATGTCAGGAAACCATAGATGCTGGTAAGGCTGTGAGGAAATAGGAACGCTTTTACACTGTTTGTGGAAATGTAAATTATTTCAACCATCGTGGAATACAGTATGGTGATTCCTCAACGATCTAGAACCAGAAATACCATTTGACCCAGCAATCCCATTACTGGGTATATATCCAAAGGAATATAAATCATTCTACTATACAGACACATGAAGACATATGTTTATTGTTGCACTATTTACAATAGCAAAGACATGGAACCAACCAAAAGCCCATCAATGATAGACTGGATAAGGAAATGTTGTACATATACACCATGCAACACTATACTGCCATAAAAAGGAATGAGATTATGTCTTTGCAGGGACTCGGATGACACTAGAAGCCATCATCATCCTCAGCAACTAACACAGGAACAGAAAACCAAACACAGCATATTCTCATTCATAAGTGAGAGTTGAACCTTGAGAACACATGGACACAGAGAAGGGAACAACACACAACAAGGCCTATTGGAGGGTGTGGGATGACAGGAGGGAACTTAGAGGACGGGCCAGTAGGTGCAGCAAACCACCATGGCACAGGTATACCTATGTAACAAACCTGCACGATCTGCACATGTATCCTGTTTTTTTTTTTTTTTTTTTAGAAGAAATACAGAAAAAAAATGTGGTGTATATATGCAATGGAATACTATGCTGCCATTAAAAATACTGAAATTTTGTCATTTGCAGCAACATGGATGGAACTGAAGGTCACTGTGGTAAGAAAAATAAGCCAAGCACAGAAAGACAAATATCACATGTTCTCACTCACATGTGAGAGCTGAAAAAAATGGATCTCATGAAAACAGAAGGTAGACTGTTTGAGAGGAGGAAAGAATGAGGAGAAGTTGATTAATGGGTACAAATACACGATTTGATAACTTATTTTAGGAACAGATACAATTTTTTCAGTGTAATATCTGCACATATGCATAACAGTAAAAATTCAGAAGCTTTTTATTAAATAAATTGGCACAAACATTTGATTCATTAAGTTTTCTCTAATGGACCTCCCTCTATAGGAATGAAGGCAGCAGTATGTAAATCTATTTGCTGTTTTGTTTTTTGTGTTTAAAAAATATGCTATAAACCTGAATATCTGGTCTGAAGGAGACATAACAGATCCATCCTGTGCAATTATGAGAGTGATTAAAGAATAAGTTTGATAAGCAGATCAATATATGTAAGTAAATTTATATCCATGGAGGAATGCCCATTTCTTTCTATGTAAAATCACTCAAGTTGCAGAATAATATGTATTGTCCATTTTTTTAAGAATATTCTCCACATGTATGCAGATTTTGAGCAAGAAGATAAACATAGTATGCTAATAGGATTATCACAGAGAAGAAAAGACATTATCTTTTTTTAATGTTTTGATGATTGCTTCCAGAAAATTTAGCAAAGATATTTGTGAGTAGGCCAAAAATTAACCCCTTTTATAAATCTAACTTGATTTCTGGTATCAAGGCAGTTGTAGACTTGAAAGCACTTTCCGAATAGTGGAATAGGGACATTTGAAAACCTACTCCTCCCTAAAAGAAATTAGAACACTGACAAATAATTGTCAAAATCTACTTTGTTATTACTCTTGACATTTGTAAAGGCTTATACAAATGCTAGAACAATTTATTCAAAATAAGTGAATACATCTTGGCAAGAACAGTGAGCTTTATGGCATTTTCACTAACTGCATTCTCATTCCTCTCACCTTAGTTCCATAGACTTAAAAATTAGCAAACTCAAAACAGTAACAGCTGTGAAAATCAGCAACCCAGCATACATAGGACAGGGAAGAAGGAGTTTGGAGATCAAGCATTTTCATCATTATAGAACTGTTACTAGTTGATCTCTTTGGCTTTTCCTCATGGAAAAGCTCCTTTTATGAGGCTAGTATTTACTTGCCCTGACTCAGAATTCAAGCATTGAGAAGCCCTATTCATAGGGCATTTATTGAAAACAATTGGAGGCAATTGTTTTTCATAGCTTTCTGATGTGGTGATACCAGTTGAAGCAAATAAGAGGCAAGCCACCAAAACCCTTAAATATCAGGAAAATAAGGAACTTTGAAAAGGTCTAACATATTCCTGGGGATCTAGAAAGTTGCATTAAAAGTCTGTGTGCATACCTAGAAAAGACTTGAAAATGTCATAACATCTCACACTGACTGTTGTTGAGCCTTTCCATAAATAAAAGTTAAGGTTAAAACAGAGTTGTAAACAGCCAAAGATTGAAGTCATCCCCAGCACAAGTAGAGAGCCCATTGGCAGATGGTCGGAAACATATTGATTGAAGTGATTGAAGGAAATCAATATTCCAACCATTAGCTGACACCAAACCATCCCAGTAAATACTTTAGTAGTTACTCATGACCAAAAACACAAACTATACAAAATTAGTCCATGAAAGAAACTAAAAGCAAACAACAACAAAAACAAAACCAAGAAGTAGAAATAACAAAAGCAAAAGGGGAGGGGTATTTGATTTACAATGTTGGCATATTATTTTATTTAAAATGTGCAGTTAAAAATTGGTAGTCAATGGTCGGGCGTGGTGGCTCACACTTGTAATCCCAGAACTTTGGGTGGCCAAGGCAGGTGGATCATGAGGTCAGGAGATCGAGACCATCCTGGCTAACATGGTGAAACCCCATCTCTACTAAAAATAGAAAAAATTAGCCAGGCATGGTGGTGGGTGCCTGTAGTCCCAGCTATGTGGGAGGCTGAGGCAGGAGAATGGCGTGAACCCAGGAGGCAGAGCTTACAGTGAGCCGAGATGGCGCCACTGCACTCCAGCCTGGGTGACAGAGCGAGACTCCATCTCAAAAAAAAACAAAAAACAAAAAAACTGGTACTCAATGAGACAAGAAAGTATGGCCTAAACATATGTGGAAAAATAGTCAACTAAAATTGTTTCTGAGAAGGACTAGATGATGGACTTACTAGAAAAAGACATTGAATGACCTATTATAAATATGTTTAAAGAAGTAAAAGAAACCACATCCAAAGAAATAAAGCAAAGTCTGGGACTGATTTCTCCAAACTGAGATTATTAATAAAGGATTAGCAACTATAAAAAAGTACTAAATAGATTCAGCAGAATGACATGGTAACAACAACAAAAAAAGTACTAAATTGAAGTTTGGTCAAAAACAGTACAATTATTGAAATAAAAATTCACAAGAAGGTGTTGGCAGCAGATTTCAACTGTCAGAATAATGAACCGGTGAACTTAAAGATAGATCCATTGATTATTATCCAGTCTGAGAATAGAAAGAAAAACAAATAAAGAAAAATGAACAGAAACTCAGAGACGTACGGGACACTATGAAGCTTACTAATATGTGCATGATGGATGAGAGGCCAAGAAAAAGAAAACAGAGAATATAGCGGAAAAAATATTTAAAGAATTTCAACTGAAAATTTAAAAATTGGATGAAAAATTCTAATCTACATTTTTGGAAGTTCAAAAAACTCTGATTTGGATAAATTCAAAGAAATTCACACACAAATACATCATAGTCAAACTGTCAAAGGTCAAAGACTGAATGCAAAGAGAAAAAAACACAAAATTTACAGTACACAAGGAGTCTTCAATAAGATGAACAGCTAACTATTCATTAGAAACCATGGAGTCCAGAAGGCAATGGGATGACATATTCAAAGCACCAAAAGAAAAAGACTACCAACTAAAAAGTCTATATTTATTCATTTTATCATTCAAATGTTAAGAAAAAATTACAACCTAAATAAAAAGGGGGAATACTGGACAGGAAGTCAAATCCACAAGAAGAAATAAAAGCACTAGTTAAAGTACATAGGTAAATATAACAGATAATATAAATATACTTGTTTTGTAAGGATTTTCTTTTCCTATCTGATTTAAAAACAACTGTATCAAGCAATAAGGATAAAACTGTGTTGATTGACTTATAATGTAAAAAATGAATTTGTATGTCAATAATAGAACAAAGAGGAGTTTAAGCTTTGACATTAATTTGCTACTAATCCAATTAGATTGTTATAAATTAACATGTAAATTGCAATCCCCTGGACAAAAACTAAGCAAATAACTCAAAACATACTATCAGGCGAAAGAGACTTTAAGACAAATATTATTACTCAGGAAAAGGATGAAATTTATAATGATAAATTTTTAATGTATCAGTAATATACGTTAATTATTAATATAAACATATATACACCTAACAACATAGACTGAAATATATGTGGGAAAATGATAGAATTGAAGGGAGAAATAGACAATTCAGCCCTAATAGTTGGATATTTTGATCACCTTCTTTCAATAATGAATAAAACAACTAAGAGGAAGATCAATACAGAAATAGAGGACTTGAACAAAACTAGAAACTATCCAGACTTAAACAGACATCTATAAAACACTCCACCTAAAAACATCAAACATTATTTTCCAGTTCACACAGAACATTATCCAGGATAGATTGCATATTAGGACATAAATCAAACATTTATGCATTTAAAAATATTGAAATCATACAAAGTATATTTTCTGAACACAATGAAATGAAATTTTAGAAATCATTAACTAAAGGACATTTAGGAAATTCACAAATATATGTAAGTAAAAAACAAACAAACAACAAACAAAACCCACACTGTTAAATAACAAAGGAGTCAAAGGAAAAAAATTCACAAGGGGAATTAGGAAATCATTTCAGATCAATTAACAGAAAAAACAACGTACCAACAATTATGAAATTCAGCTATTGCTGTGCTTAGTAAAGTATTAATAGGCACAAATGCCTATATTAAAAAAGAAGAAATATCTCAAATCAAAACCTAAACATATACCTTAAGAAAGTGGAGAAATAAGAGCAAACTAAATAAGCAGAAGAAAAGAAAATAATAAAGATTAGATTGGAAAAAATAGTAGAGAACTAAAAATATAGAGAAACTCAACAAAACAAAACTTTAGCTCATTAAAAAGATCGACCAAATTGAAAAATTTTTAACTAGACTAACCATGAATACAGAAGTTCAAATTGCTAGCCAGAAATGAAAGAGGAGATATCACTTCCAAACTTAGAGGAAAATAAGAAGAATAAGGAATGCTATGAACAACTGTTGTTAGCAAATTAAATAATCTTAATGAAATGGACAAATTCTTAAAAGGGTACAAACTATAAAATCTGACTTAAGAAGAAATAAAATATCTGAATATATATAGCAAATAAATAAAATCAGTTTAGTAATTTTAAAACCTCCTACAATAAAAGACCAAGCCCAGATGACATCACTGATAAAATCTACCAAATGTTTAAAGATGAATTAATACCAGTCCTTTGTAAATCTTCCAAAAAATAAAGGAAGAGGAAGAATCACTTATTGACTCAAAGTGAGACCAGTGTTATTCTGATACATAACCAAGCAAGAAAGACCTCACAAGGAAAAGCAAAACAAACATGAACACAAAGCTACGAACCAATATTCCTTCTGAACATAGACATACAAAATACAACTCAACAAAATAGTAAGAAACCAAATCTAGCAACATATAACTAGGATTGTACAACATAAACATTTTTTACTTATTGTATAAATTTATGGTTGTCTTAATATCCAAAAATTAATCGATGTAATACATCATATCAATAGACTAAAGGACAAATATAAATAACTTATAATCTCCATGATAGTAGAAAAAGCATTTGGCAAAAAGTCTCACATTCTTTCATAAGAAAGACTGTCAGAAAACTAGGAATAAAAAAGAACTTTCACACACTCATAAGGAGCGTTTATGAAAAACCAACACCATTATAATGAATGATGCAAGATAGAGCGCTTTCCCCCTAAAATAAAAAACAGACAACATACCTGTTCTTGCTTCTTATATTCAACATTGCAGTATAGGTTCTAGCTAGGACAATCAGTTAAGAAAGAAATAAAAGACAAGATTGAAAATGAAAAAGTAAAACCATCTCTATTTGAAGATGATATTATCTTGCAAAAATACCAAAACACACAAATGCACACCCACACATACCCTACTGGAACGAATTTAAAAGTTCAGTATGATTGCACGATATGAGGCCTATATACAAAAATCAGTCATATTTCTATACACTAGCAATGAACAATCTGAAAATGAAATTAAGAAAAGAATTCCAGGCTGGGCACAGTGGCTTATGCCTGTAATCCCAGCACTGTGGGAGGCTGAGGTGGATGAATTGCTTGAACCCAGGAGTTCGAGACCAGTCTGGAAAACATGGTGAAACTCCATCTTTACCAAAAGAAAAGAAAATTAAAAATTACAAAAATTAGCTGGGCGTGGTGGTGCATGTCTGTAGTCCCAGCTATTCAGGAGGCTGAGGCTGGAGAATCACTTAAGCCCAGGAGGCAAAGGCTGCAGTGGGCCAAGATCACATCCACTGCTCTCCAGCTGGGGTAATAAAGTGAGACCCTGTCTCAAAATAATAATAATAATAATAATAATAATAATAATAATAATAATAATAATAATTCCATTGAGGACTTTCAACTTTCAGTCCAAAAGGTAAAAAGCTTGAAAGCTGTCATCCATTTCCTGTCCTCACAACAAGAAAGAAGCTAAAAAAAAAAAAACCTGAAAATAGATAACTTTTCTTAGATATATCAGAGAATTTAGGTCACAGGGCAAACAACCATTATACAAAACTAGAGACACATTTGAATACATAGAGCTTACAAGGAACAACGGAAGCCACTATTGGAGACAACAACAGTCATAAATCATTAAAAATGAACTTACTCACTACTGGAGACTGAGCGTGGACTATAATGAGAAATTAAAATTCCTCTTGTCCCAGCTTTAGCGGGAGCCCTCACACACTTTCATAACTTTTACCTTCAGGAGTCCCACCAGGGGTCTCAGAGTGAAGATGGGAGAAAAACCTCTGGTGTTGTATTTTGAAATATACCCAGAGTGCTCTGTTCTTAAGAAAGGTCTGCCCTCAATGGAAATAATACTACCTGAGCCGAAAGGCTAGAGTGGGCTGGAGTTGGGTATTTCCTTTGTCTGAGGTTGGTTAGACTCTAGCAAAACCCGTTTTACCTTAGAGGAAGGTGGAAAGCCAAGAATTATTTGTGATGGTCACATCTCAGGGACACATGTTCACTAAAAGGTTCAGATCTAATCACAGGTTTGTAAAATGCTTCCCCTCTCACGGCAGCTTATCACCACATCAATAGGACTCTTCTATAATAACAGGCTAGAACAAAAAACTACAAGGCTAATGAACTATTTAAGAAGGAGTCTCTAGGAGAACCCAAAGACAACAGGCAAGACTCAAACACAACATTAGATAAAAATTTAGTGTCTGAAATCATAACTACAACAAACAGTAAACACATTTGCTTGGCAAATGAACATAAAATCTCAATCAAAGACTAATGTTCTCAGTTCTTATTATCCAATACACCGTGTGTGGCTTTCAACAAAATAATTACAAGTCACACCAAAAGAAAACAAATAAACAAATAAAAAACACAGCCTGAAGAGACAAAGCATGCGTTAAAACAAGACTTAGATATAATACACATTTTGGAATTAGCAGAACAGAAATTTAAAATAACTATGATTAATTTGCTAAGAGTTCTAATGGGGAAAAGAAAAGGACAACATACAAAAGCAGATGGGTAATGCAAGCAGAGAAATGGAAACTCTAAAAAAAAAACCTCCATTTAAAATAGCATTACAAATAAAATACTTAAAAACAAACTTAAGAAAAACAATACAAGTCTTCCATTATGCAACAAACATTGTTGAAAAAATTAAGAAAGCCTAAATATTTGAAATGAGACCCAATGTAATGAATCAGAAGACTTAATATTGTTATAATATCTATAGTCCCCAAGTTGATGAGCAGATTCAATGTGATCCCTACTGTAACCCCAGCTGGCCTTTTTGCCAAAATTGAAAAGTTAATCCTAAGTTCGTAGAGAATTTCAAGATTCCAGAATAACCAAACAATCTTGAGAAAGAACAAAGCAGAGGACCCACACTTCATAATTTCAATACTTGTTACAAACTTGCAGTAATCAACACAGCAATCAAGACCTATGGAATTTGTATTTCAATATACATATAGATCAATGGAATAGATTTGAGAGTCTAGAAATAAATCTTTGCATTTATGGTCAATTGATTTTCTATATGGGTGCTAAGACAATTCAGTGGAGGAAAGAATTTTTTTTTAAATAAACTGCTGAGACAACTAGATACCCACATCCAAAAGAATAAATTTGGAACCTGACCTCATACCATATGAAGAGTTAACTCAAAATAGATCATAGACCTAAATGTAAGAGCTAAAACTATAAAAATTTTAAAAGAAGCATAGGAGTAAATCTTTGTGTCCTCGAGTTAGGTGATAGTTTACTAGAAATAACAACAAAAGGTCAGCAACAATAAAAAAGAAATGTGTAAATTTAACTTTGTCAAAATTAACTCTTTTGCACTTTAAAGGATACAATTTTATAAAATGAAAAGATAATTCACAAAATGGATAAATATTTGGATGTCATATGCCTCAAAAGGGATTTGTATCCTGAACATATGAAAATGTCATATAATAATGATAAAAACACAAATCACCCAATTTTTAAATAGGAAAATAATTTGAAAAATATTACTCCAAAAATGCATAAATGGCCAATAAGCATACAAAAAGTGCTCATTATCATTCATCAAGAAATGCACATCAAAACCTCAATGAGGTGCCACTTCACATCCAATAGGATGATTAATATCAAAAAAGGCAGACAATAATAACTGTGGATGAAGATATAGAGAAATTGGTCCCCTCACATTTTTGCTGGTGGGATTTAAAATGCTAGAGCCACTTTGCAAAACAGAAAACAGTTTGGCAGTTACTGAAGATGTTAAATGCAGAATTACCATGTGATCCAGCAATTCCATCCCTAGGGTACATGCTCAAAAGAAGTGAAAAAATATGTCCATACAAAAACTTTTGGGCAAATGTCTATAGAAGCATTAGTCACCATAGCTAAAATGTAGATACAAGCCAAATGTCCATCAGCTGATGAATGAATAAAGAAAATCTGATATACCCATACAATGGAATATTATTCACTCATAAAAGGCTGAAGTACTTCATGCTACAACACGGATAAACTTTGAAAGAATTTTGTTAATTTAAAGAAGCCAGGGACAAATGATCACATGTTGTAGGATTCAATTTGTATGAAATGTCCATACTAGACAAATACATACGTAGATTAGTGGTTGTCAGGTTATGGAAAATGGGCGAATGTAGACTAACAGCTAATGGTATGAGGTTTCTTTCTGAGTGATGAAAATATGCTAAAATTAAATAGTGGCGGTGATTGCACTGCTATGTGAATATCAACACCTTTAAATGACCCACTTTAAAAGGGGGATTACATAGTATGTGAATTGTTTCTCAATAAAGCTCTTTAAAAAATAGACTTAAAAGTGTCACCATAATTTCATGAAACTTTCATAATGGTAATTACTGTTTCCTTGTGTTTCCCTCCACATATTGGATTCAGAAAAAAAAATTGCCATTTTGATCAAATTAAGAACACTTTAAATCTTCACTCTAAGTTTCAGCTGAATCAAGTGATTGATCAATTAAGGTTTCAACTCCTTCCAGAATCAGCCAAAGATAGCAAGATTGCATTAACATATAACTCATTCTAAATTCACTTTCAACAACAATGTAGTGGATCAGTTCTCTTTCTTCAATCATTAGATATATATAATTATAACGATAATATATACAAAATCATTTTAAGCTAACATGCTAGTATAATACAGATTATCTGTTTGATGGACTATGGTGGTTTATTAATAAAATATTTTCCTAAAACAGTTGAAATTATGATTATATTAAATACAATGCTACATTGAAACTAAGTTTCAATTTGTTTTAGACATCAGAGAAATAATCTTAAGTGGCAAGCCAACATGTTTTTCTAGAAATTGTTTTTAGTCTATAGTCTAATTTATTTGAACAAAATTCTATTGATGTGCACAAACTCTTTGGAATTAAGAAGTTAATTCAATAATCAAAAGTCACCTTAGCTTGGCACTAAATGTTGCAAAACTATATGGGGTAAGTAACAGAAAGGAAAATGTATTTAGGTATTACATTTCTCTTCAAATTACTAAAAACTCATATATCATTTATATAATGCATATACTCAATGTAGTTATGGCAGGAAACCTACTTATACACTGAGCATGCCACTCTCAACAAGTTCTGACAGCAAATCTCCCATTTTTAGTTGACAACTGTTACCCAGGCATAAAATATAATTTACCACATAGCAAAGCTGCCTTAATCATCTAGTTCTTCCCAAAACAAAACAAGTTTGTATGTATACTATTTCCACAATTCTGACCACTGACATAGCTAAATTTCTATTTGATAAACAGTAATTCAAAACAAAACAAAACAAAAAACAATGTTGTATGTTACCAGAAGCTTGGCAAACAACACTTCAGGCACTGCTTGCAATTTCTCTGGCTCTGAGGCAGTAAGAAGCATTGCTGATAATAATCAATACATAAAAGATAATTTTTTTTTGCTAACATCCATACATTTTGCAAAGTGTGTAGAAAAGGATACTACAATTATAAAGTTCTCTGAGAAAAATTAACAGGGGCTTTCCCAGTCAGAGAGATTTGAGAATCATTGCACATTAGATTCCATTCTTGAAAGGTCATTGTGCATATTAATACATTACAAATTCTGGAATCTTGTTTAAATTTGATCAACCCAGATTTTATCAAACATATCTCACAACATGTACTTTTCTCTGTTTTCTCTACATTTTCTTATCCCTTTCCCCAAACACACATATAAGCATCTTTTAATATCCTGAGCTTATGTCTGATTTCTGGTCCAGGATAGGCAAAAGTAAACTTCTGTTGATTGAATGAACAACCACATCCACAAAGCTTAAACAAGTGTATTGAAATCTGCACAATCAATGGATGAGGCCAAGGTGAAGCTCCTCTGTATCACTGTTGCTTAACTAAACGATCATATATCACATGTAAATTATTACATTCTCAAAAGCAAATGTGGTCGAAGTTCCTTCTGGTTCTCAAGCTAACAATGCAGGCACTACTTGATGGGTTTATTTTCCCTGGACAACTTGAAGTTGAACCGAAAGTAGTTGAAATGACACCCAGAAGGGACTGTTTTCAAGGCAGTATTACATGGTTTTTTTCTAGAAAGTTTAAAGGTGCTTTAAAGAGAGAAAGGGGTCCTTTTCAAAAGCCATGTGAATACTACAAACCATTAATTACAGCTACTCAGGAACTGAACTAGAATGAGCTTGCTCTCACTAATTTAAAGGAGCAAGCAGATGCAGAACTGGGGCTTAGCCCAGTTCTTAATACCATTCTCACTATGGCCACGAAAAGAAAAAAATAAATGCAAGGATAAAACTTCTCTAAGCAGAGCTGAATAAGCACTAGAGAAGCATTTGGGAAATTCATTTTTTACAGATGAACAGCAACCAACAATTCAGCCCTACATCTGCTGGGGGTGATCCAGATCTCTTACATAATAGACTTTTTTTTTGGTAACTGAGTGCAAAGTCTTTAATAATTTTTCATAAGCTTCCATGTGTCATGCTAAGAGTACATCATTGTTGCCGCATAGACTTTTTCTCTATTCCCTTCCATGTAATATTTAACAAAACAAGTGTTAACTTATCCCAACATAGCACTCATTATCTCCCAAATTACTAAAAACTCATTATCTCCCAAGATGTTTCCCAAATTCTGCATGTGTCATACAAAGATCAAAAGCATGATGAATTGGAAAACCAAGCATGATGTTATGCTGGGCTTCAAGCTTTGGAAAATGACAACAGATATGAGTCACAGGTGTTAATACTTATTTATTTTATTTGCCTAGTGAAGGTTCACTCATAGATATCTTATTTAACAGTCAGTAATATTCACATTATTGCTATACAGTTGTATGAGTTTTAGCCCATATGAAGATTCTTGCAACCACCAGCACAAACAGATACTGATGATCCCAGCACCATAAAGAAATGCCTCATGCTGCCCCTGTAATTAACACACCCTTCTGTCACTGCCAATCCCTGGCAATCTCCAATCTGTCCCTATACTTTTACATTTTCAGAATGTCATAAATGGAATTACAAAGTATTTAATCTAGCTACAGTCACTTATACTGATGCCTCTACAGATTTATCCAGATTGCACATATCAATAATTTTTCCCTTTTTATTGTCCATTTTATGCATATACCATAGTTTTTGTCCATTCTCCCACTGAAGGAAATTTGGGTTGTTTCCAGTTCTTGGCAATGGTACTTTTCTAAAAAATTATTAAGCAGGTTTATACATGAACATCAATTTTATTTCTTTAGGATAATTTCCTGGATGTGGGATGATGAGGTCACATGGAAATTGTATGTTTAACTGTGTATTAAACAGCCAAAATGTGTTCCAGAGCAGCTTTGCCATTTTATATAATTTGGATTTGAGCAGACAAAGCTACAGTATTCTGGGAGGAAAAGATACTTCTTAGGTAGTTTACATAAGAAGAAATAATTTTTTTACAGCAGAAGATGAGAAAGGGAATATTAGATAAATCCAGCTCTGTGTATCTGAAATCCAATTCACTTGGTTCATTTGTTCTTTGAAGATAAATACAGTATAAGATAAAAATTGATGAGCATTAAAATGTAGTTATATATTCTGTAACTACAGTTTAGTGTGAAATCATTGCATCCCTAATTATGACTTCTGTTCTGCTTAGAACAGCTGGTATTACTGAATGTTTCAAATTGTGCCACAGACTTAGTGTGACAAGATCTCTGAGGATTGTTTCCTTCCATTACCAGGACACAATGGCTAATTGAAGCACGAAAAACAAATGCACAGAACAAGCCAGAAACCCAGACTGAGCTATAGGCCAACTGCAGCCAGATATTTCAAAAGGAAGTACTCTACCAGGTCCTTCAGGGAGAGCGGCAGAAATGAGAAAAGATTTGCAGGCCATTTACTTATAAAGGAAGAAAAATATGTAGAGAGACTGAGTCCTTGATGACTTCTCTTGAGTTTCTGGATCACACCTTCCTAGAGGAACAATATAGACCAATACATCCTGTGAGTATATTAGTGTCTCTGAGCTGAATTTCTGTCACTTACCATATAAACTGCTTCACACAAATGCTCTATTACAACTCTGTAAACAAACCTAAAAGAATACAAATATGGAGGAAAAACAGGGTCAATATGTAAAAGACTGAAAATAAACTCTAAAAGATCATGTCACTGTGTTTGGATAGCAGAACCACATGACTGTTTTCTGTTTGTAAAAATGTCTATTCCTACGTTTTATTTGATGAACTTTTAGAGACATGTATATAAGAATATATGATTTCAAAATACATTATTTCCACAAAAGGCTTGCACTGTTTTAAGAACATATAAATCTGCAATGAAAGAATACTCCATTAACAAATCACACACATTTTGTTGTGCGCTAATCACTTTTTGGGCGGGAGAAAAAAAAGTCAAATAATTTAATGGAAAGACTTTAGTAACTTGCAAAAGTACAGAAACATTTAGATTTTTCTAAGTATCAGAGACAACCTTTATAAAACGAGGTTGTGTTGTGTGGCTCTCAGTTACTGTTTTAGACAAGTGATCAAGAAAACCTGTGTTGTTCCAAACCTAAGCAAGACCTTGCATTTGAAAGTGCAGATAGTTATTTCCGGAATGTTTAAACTCTGCCTTTCAATTATCCAAATATGTTCTCTTTCAATTCTTGGTGGCTCAATTTGCCTTAAATTAGGAAAAGTATATTAAAATCTAAGAATCTTTTCTGAATTTATGATGTCATTTCCATTAATGGATTTCCATTTTGTGAAAATAGTTAATTTCACTAAGCTCAGGGTAGCTCAGCAGTGGAAACTTGTCTAGTTTAAGATGTAATGCTTGTATTTCCTTATAAACATCAGTAGCGCTCTTGGTTTATCCCTGTAGGGTTAAGTTTAATGTGTTTCACTAATCATATCCATCCCAGTTACAATTTTGAGGGTTTGGTTTTTCAGAAACCATTTATTACAAAATGTCTTTTTCATCTGAAGAAGTAGCTCAGTAAATCTTCAGGAAAAGTTTGTGAGGCTTAAATATCTGACTGATTTATGTTATTTTTAAGTATTCTGTAATCCAGTGCTGAGGGAGCCTGAGGTGCGAGGATTGCCTAAGACCAGGAGTTTGAGACCAGCTTAGGCAACATAGGGAGACTCTGTCTCCAAAAAAAAAAGAAAAAAATATTAGCAGGGCATGGTGGCATGTATTGTACTAGCTACTCAGGAGGCTGAGGAGGCAGGATTGCTTGAGCCCTGGAATTTGAGGCTACAGTAAGCTATGATCAAACTGCTGCACTCCAGCCTAGGCAACAGAGTGAGATCCTGCCTTTAATAAATAAATAAATAAAAGTCTTTACACTGGAGGGTTTTTCCCCAACAAATAACATAATGTCATAACTTCTTCCACCAAGGACATTAATCTGCAAAGTTCAAATGTTCCCAGTGAATGATGCAAACATAGCATCTTATACCTTCTTACCTCCTCTTTTCATTTGCATAAACTGGTTAATTTGCATAAACATTTGCATAAACTGGTTAATTTGCATAAACATTTGCATAAACTGGTTAATTTTTTATTACATCTTTGGAACATAACATCAACTTTTCCACATTTACACTGAGTTTCTCAAATATCTACCTTGTGGGTGATTTGATCTTACTAGTTCACATGTAGCAGTTAATTAAATTCAAAAAATACCATCCCCAAATCTGGTTGTTCAACACCTCAGTCAGTCCCCACCTGGAGAGAAGGTGAACTGCCTTTCTCCCTAAACTTACATTTTAAACACTGGTACTATAGGAGCTGACAGTTATTTCCCTCAAATAGTTCCTTCTGGAAAGGTGCAGCATGGCACATTTGGCCCTAAAATGTTTCAATCACTAAAATGGCAAATTCTGATAGCAATTTAAAACCTTCTTTCCAATTCAAAGCCTTCACTTCAAGGTGCTCTGGTTAAATTGAAATTTCCTTTCACAAAATAACACTAACTATTCTAGTCTGAATTACCATCATCACTCATTGAGCTTTCTCATTTCACCTAACCAGTGTGCCAGCTCCCCTTCTGTCCTCTTTCTGATCAGCTCTTAAGAGCCAGACTGATGTTACAAGGCCAGTGCACACATGCAGATGTGCCTGGGAGCCCGCTCTCTAGCTCCTTCCCTTGCTCGCTGAGGCTGGGCTTCGCGGTGATAATAAGCAGGAAACCTGGAGCCTCATTGTGTTCATTTGTATTCAGAATCCACCATTTCGCTGACTGTGAACATTCTGGGAGTTACTTCACCGCCCCGTGCCTCAGTTTCCCCTTCTGTAAAATTGGAAATCTAATAGCAACCACCTTAGAATACTGTGGACAATAGCATAAGTTAATGTAATGAAAGCACCAAAGAACTTCTGGCATGTAAGAAGTACTCAATAAGTGGTCCTATCAGTATTATTTATAGAATGACATAAACACTGTTCACTGTGCCCTACAGTCCCTACCATTACCCAAGGAAACAGGCTTATCTCTGCTGCACTGGCCTTGCAGGGCCTAAGTTTCACTATGCTCCTTCTTCATACATAATTCCCCTGGAATCTATATCCATGTATTTTGCCTGGAATACTATTCTCTTCTTCCATTGCCACTACTCAATCCTTGGATTTCAATTCCAGCATCACTTCCACAAGGTCTCTCTCTCTTATTGAACCATGTTCACCTCTGGGCATGCAGCATTATCAGCCTCTTTTATTCATATTTTCAGAGAACCAGAAAAAGTTGTTACTTTAATTTTGGAGAAATCCATAATGATTATGATGTGATTTAGTGTATAAAATATTTGTAAGTGGATTTTTTGTGGAGCTGAAGGGAAAGAATGAGTGACCTTGGGGACTGAATCAGGGAATAATGGATAGATCTGGATATTAAAAGTTGGATTAGAATCTGCCTCAACTTTCTGGCAAAAATGGTACTAAAATCTATTGATAACCACAGTGTTGGGCACCATTATGAGGGCTGTGTGGATAATACCTCACTTAATTTTCCTGAAAAGTCTCCATGTTAAGTACTATTTCCTCCATACTAGACATGAGAAATCTAAGGATTGAAGTGATGTGCATAATATTACACAGCCCACCAAAGGCAGAGTCTGGAGGTGAATTTAGACCTGACTTTCTCACATCACCTTTGCACAGCAGGTATCCTCTACGCAAAGGCAGAGGCGAGTGAAAGACAAGATTTATTCAAAAATCACTGAGATGGTCAGGGTGGGTGGGGGCAGAATATAAGAGGTATTGCTATATGAGGCTGAGAAGGTAGAACAAGACTAAAGCAGACAGGAGGGCTCTATGTGTCTACCAATGACAGCAAAGAACCCAGTCAAGTGAATCCAGGCAAAGGGCAGTTGTTTCATCCTTAGGGCCCAAAGGGGACCTGAGCTCACTTTCTCTGGGAGCCCAGATGGCCCTTAACTCTCTCCTCCTCTCTTTTCATTCTATGGACAACCTTCTTATGCTTATACATGAACTTACATGTCTTCCAGCCTTCAGAGCTTGGCACTCTATACAAATGGACTGTAATTTCTTGGTCACATAGTTCAAACTATGTAAGGGGATGAATATATTCCTTGGTGCCGTCTTCCTGCTATGCAGGTGGTTGCTAAGTCACCTGATACAAACAGGAATTAAAAGACTAAGGTAATTCCCTACAGGGTGGCTCTCAGTTAGAAGAGACATTCCAGAATAGGTTAACTACATATTGCATACTAAAGAGTTTGGACTTTGTCTTGAAAGGTATGTTTTACAGTTCCTAAAATACTACAGAACATTGATTTGTAACACATTAATGCAAATTAACTGCATTCAACAGCTGATGTGGTATACTTTGAATCCTGGGAAGATGTTCTCTGATTAAATATTGACTATCTCTAGCTTAAAATTTGCAAGAAATTATCTATAACAAGAACTGAGAGGTAATATGTTCATCATTTTTTAACATAACACATTTAGCATTGCACTGACAATTATCTGAATACACAACTGTGTATGCCAAAAATGAGTGAAAAGTAGTTCTATATTTAAGACAATAGATAAGCCCACAAATTACCTGAACATCTTTACATCACATATACTTTAGTTTGCCAGAAAATA